>NC_000001.11:55462925-55614441 GCF_000001405.40 Homo sapiens
AAAATCAAATGAATTTTATTCAAAGCATATAGAATTTGGATATTTCATCAATAAATATAAAAATAAAAATCAATGTCTTTCAGAAGAGCTATTTTTCTAAAATATGCAAATCAAAAGCAAAATACAAATTATTCTAAATTAATATAGAAATTTTTTAGAATATTTAAGTAAAGCTGAAATTTTATGTAATTTTTTGAAATTTTAATTAAGAATATTTAAATATTTTTATAAAAATAAAACTATTGAAATTCTAATATTCAACACCCATATAGTCACCCTTTTATAAAGTCATCACGCTTCACTCACATTTCATCTTAAATGTTTAGGTTTAGTTAAAATAATTTGACATATATACAAATTTCTAAGCCATTGAATTGTCAGTATCACAAAGCATTTCTTGCGAGTGTGCACATGGTGTTCATTTGTAAATGCCTTTGGGATTATGGATTGGAATATTAAAAAAGAAGTAAGAAAGTGGACTTTCAGCACCACCAGAAGCAATACTTTGCTGTGCAACAATCTGCTGCATTTATGCTGTCTGTCTTTTCTTCCACCTGGGCACTTCTGCTCTTAGGTTTTCTCTACTCTCAGAAGCAGGGTTGTGTCTGATATTGGCTGCATGAACTTTCATAGCACTTGAAGCCAGTTACCATTTGATTCAAGGGAATCTCGGAAAAGAGGAAGATAAGTTTTTCCTGGAGTCTGAATGAACTGCCATCTAACTTTGAATCAGAGAAATTCCATTTTTAATTTCAATTGGTTTTATGTGTTAGATGTCTGCCCATGATTTTGTTAGGAAAAAAATTATTTTACTTAGCAAAAAGCTGAAAGAAGTGATTTGGCTCAACTATCACCCCATCACCCAGACTTCCTTTCATAATTGGGAACTTTGGGGCCTGGAGGACAGTGAGCTGGCCAAGTTGATGAATGAGCAAGTGAACTACAAGGCTCACATGGGAAACCAGGCACCCAGATTCCCTGAGCAGTGTGCTTTTCCCTGCCCCATGGAGCCAATCAAAGATGAAATAAACAGCTTATTACCACGTTGATCTTAGAAAAGATTTTTATGATCGGCCTCTTCCCAGAGTCGGCCTGGCCCTTGCTGGGCTAGAAGACATTCTGTTCCCGATGAGCCCTTAAAGTTTTGAAGGTCATTGCCGAAATTGGAGATCTCACGCTTGTGCATGCTCTTGGCTGACTTACCATTTTTCCGTTACATGTAGAGTATGTGGTGAAAAAACAGCAGGCACTGAGTTGAGCTCTCTCCTGCTCCTTATCTGTCCATCTGTGTATCTCTTTCTATCTTCACATTACTTCAAAAACACGTCAGTGCCTACCTACAGTGAGCCGGCTACCACAGTCTAGCAGCTCAGGGATGTGGGCTGCCTTTGTCTCTCTCTCTTTAGTCCATTTCTCTGTCTTTGTTTCCCTGTTTCTCACTGTCTCTTATCTACTTATATATGTGTACTTGTATGTATTTTTTCTTTTTTTTATCTATGTGTCTCTTCTCCGTCTTTCTTTTCTGTATCTCTTCATCACTTTCTCTAGCTGTGTTGTCTCTTATCCCTCACTGTATTTGCTCCTTCTTGTTTCTTTTTAACTTCTCTCATGTTTTCGTCTAGCTTTTGCTTTTCTCTTTGTTTCTCTTCTGCCTCTTTCCTGGTCTCTGTGTTGCTGTATCTATCCCCCTCTCTCTCTGACTCTCCTTACATCATATTTATGCCTTTTTGCACAAAGTGAGGGCATGCAAAGGCCTCTTGAGCTTCTGTTCTTCACCCAAATCTGTGGGAAGGACAGTGAGGCCATGCCATTTGTTAGGCAGATTTCATAATATTTTCCTCAGATGATGATTTGGTGACGTAAGGATATTTTGGTCCCACTGAGAAGAAGCTAGGGATCTCACTGGGCTTGTGGATTAGACAAGCAGGGGCCAGATTTTTTTCAGGTTGTAAAGAGATTTGCCCTGGTTTTAATATAAGTGAAATGGTCTTTTTGAGGTGGACATGGTGAAGGAATCTTGATGGAGCTTGGAGCTCATAAAACCCAAGTTTGCTTTTATATTCCTCAGGGTAGAAGTCAGATGGATAAAACAGACATTGAGTGCCTACCGTAGATCAGGGTATCTGGTAAGAGCCAGAGAAATAGAGGTAACTGACTTTCTTTCAGGAACACGTAGTCTAGTAGTGAGAGCTTCCTGGGTAAGAGAGAGGATTGTTTACTTGTCTAAGTGTTAACAACAAAGAGAAGTATACGGTACTACGAGAGTAAGTTATTAGGCCTATGACAATCAGGGAAGGCTCCATGGAGATGGTGATATTTGATATGGACCTTGAAGCACAATACAAGCTTTCCAGGTAGAAAAGCGTGAAGAAGTTTCTTTGTGAAGGAAATAGCACAGGAGCATAAAGCAGTCTGGGATTATTGAGAACATAACGTGTATGGGGATAAGGTTGGAAAATTATGTTGGGGCCCAGACCTGAGAGCTTTGAATACTGGGATGAGAAATTTGGCCTTTTCTTTTTTTTTTCTGATGGCTGTATGGGATTGTGGAAGAGTTTTAAGCAATGTTGTGGCAGAGTCAGTGTGGAAGATGGAAGGGAGGTGTTCAGACTAGAGAACTGGAGACTGGGGAGGAGACAGAGGCAGTATTTCAGGTAAGGAAGGATTGGCACACAGTGCTAATATTCCTCTTTCTTATATCATGCATTTCCTTAACATTTGGTTCCATCTGCTCTGTGCTTACATTGGGGTTTGTATTCATTTAACAAAATTTAGTGAGCCTCTACTATGTATGGGGCACTTGTGAGGTACCAAGGATATGCAGATGAATAAGACATAGTTGAGTTAGAGTCCTCAATGAGCTTAAATTGAGAGGAGATATAGATAGACTGAAAGACAATTTCTACACAACCCTTTACGTACTAGCACAGAAGAAATAACAGGGGAATATGGGGGCTTATAAGAGGTACTTAACACAGTATAAAATGGGGCCAGTCAGGGTGGGCTTCCTGGAGGAAAAGAAGCCTGAGTTGACTTTGAAAGGCAGGCCAGAGTTACCTAAAGCCATAGTTTCCAAAGTGTGGCCCCTAGACCATTAGCACCAGCATCACCTGGGAAATTGCGAGAAATGTAAATTCTTGGGACCCATTGCAGACCTAGTGAATCAGAAACTCTGAGTATGGGGAAACAGCAATCTATATTTAACCAGTTTTTCCATGTACCCTTAAGTTTCAGAGCCTCTGATCCAAACAAGGAGGGAGGAAGTTGCTCCAGGCCAAGGGAGCAGGTATGCAAAGGTGTGGAAGTGCAGGTGGCCAGGTGGGAGCACGTTTGGTGGCTGCAGTGGAGGCTCACTGAGTGGATGTGCCACAGGCAGAGCCGGGGAGTCTGGCTGGGACAGAGCGCAAGGGCCCTAAATATCAGGAAAGAAATGTGGATTTTATCCTGTAGGGAATGTGGAGTCACAGAAGGGTTTTGTAAAGGAGATTGCATGCTTCTGGGAAGAATGGAAATCATCTCCTTCATTCAAGGACTGTGCTCTAGATCAAGGAAGGCAAACAGACTTGTTTCTTGTGCCAACTCTGACCCATTGGTAACAGCTGCCCAACTGCTGTGTCGAGAAGGATCCTGAAGTTAAGTCAGATCTAGGAGAAACAGGTTTGTGACTAATTAGCCAAGTTTGCCAAGGACATGGGAGTTAGGGAGATGAGGGGTGTGGTGGCTCATGTGCTATATATTATATTTGAGTTGTTCCTGCCAGATAATTGAAACAAAAACAAAAACACATGTTCTCCAGTGCTTATTTGTATTCAGGAAACCCAGCCTTGCTTTTAGTCAATACCAGCTAGAGTCAATTCTAAATTATATAAAATGGAGTCATTTGAAGGACATGGAGTCCTCTCCTCATCACAGCTCCTACAATGTAAACCTCTCCAATCACTTGGGACAATGACTGACATTCTCACCTTCTTTAGGGTAGGGCATCTAAGGCCCTGGCAGATGAAGATGCTACGAAAGAAGAGGAATCAACTCATCATTAAGGCATCATGAGTCAAAGGCGTCAGCTACATGCAAGGCCCAGCTCTTAGGAGGGGAAGAGCATACACAGCTCAGTAAGAAATTGCAATAGTGAAAACTATTGGTTAGAAAACTATCTTTTCTATCCAAGTAGCCCTCATGGCCCAGGGGACTGAATGGGTACCAGCTGAGAGGCCTGGAGCACAGCCTAAAGCAGCCCTCCTGTGGTGCAAAGTGGATTGGAAGGCTTGCATTTGATCCCTAAAATTCATGCAATCTTAAAATTCCATTCCATAATATGCAACAGCTGGCTTTATTTTCATGTGGCTATTCTTGACATCAAATACTATTTACATGGCTTGCCAGTATGTGAAAAGGATGCCCCAGGTAGATGCCCAGTGTTTATCTTGTACCTTTGCACCGGCGCTCCCCAAGGACGACACTGCATACTAGAGGATTTGTGTGCTCCAGGTGGGAAGGAATGATGATGGGCACTGAGCAAAGCGGAGCCCATTCAACCCGCCTTTGAATTGGTAGTCCATTACCGCCTAGCTGTGTGACTTTGGGTAAATTACCTCATCTCTCTGAGTTTGGTTTCCTTACATGTAAACAGGAGAAAATAGAGAATGGGAAGAAATAAAATTAATAAAAGTGTGAAACAGAGTGTGGCACATGTTAGACCCTTAATACGTTTTAGTTAAACCCTCCCATCAAGGAACCCGAGTCACATTTACCACAGTATGAATTAATTAGTCCTAACACAGAATGGGGCCTGGGGAGAATGGGACTGATGAAATGTAAATTTGGAGTTTTGGATAATCTCTGCCATTCCTCCTCACTGTGAATTTCTGGGATAGTGCTGTGAGAACATGAAAAAAGGAGGAATTATGGATGGTTCCATGACGATGGCATTGGAGCTGGATCTCACAGCGTAGGTAGATTTTTAACAGATTTCTGACTGGATCATAAACTGTGAAAAATGAAACCTTAAGACTGGACAGGCAGATTCAGGTCGGAACCTGGAGGGCCTAGTCTGCATTAAGAAGTAGTTTTTATTCAGTTTGCCATAGGCAGCCATTGAGGACTTCTGAGTAAGAGCAATGGAGTGACATGATGAGAACTGTGCTTGAGAAAGCTCATTAGGATATAAACCTCCCAAGGACAGGGGTTTTCCCCTCTGTGTGGGTCCTATCATATCCCCTGTTCCTACAATAGTATCTGGAGCAAAGTAGGTAACTAATAACTAATTTTTGAATGAATGAATGAATGATTGAATCCCTCTGATAGCAGACATTTGGGATGTATTGGAGAGGACACTGCTAGAGGTGGGAAGACCAGTTCAGAGGCTGTGGCAGCCCTCTAGGATCAGGCCACGAGTGCTGGTCTGGGCGGTTGGCAGTGGGGATGGGGTGTAGGTACAGTGGCTTGGAGACTCTGGGAACATCACTCTTCTGCTCTCTGCACCTCTCTTAGAACACTGACCATTCTCTGAATTCAGGGAAAGCTTCAGGGCCGCATAATTCATCCTGACAGCCCAGGCCAAATGTTTTTCCAGAGCCCCTGCTCCCCTCTCCTCCCCGTTCAGATTGGAACACAGTCCAGGGCATGCTCTAGATAGGAAATTGTTATTTGCATCTGAACATGAAACAGCGTTTTCTGAAGCTGTGAGCAGGGCCCAGCTGGTGTGAGCTGGGCTCGCTCACAATTGCAACCAGCTTGTTTCAATTTAGGACTGGGAGGTGAAGGGTGGGACTGCATATGTTGGCCTCACTGCGGGAAGGCTCTCATATACACACAAACACACAAGCAAATGCAATAAACCCACCAGTCCCTGCCATCTTAGCTGGGGAGAAGACTTCCTAGGGGGTAGAGAGAAGAAGGAAGGAAAGGGGTTGCACAAATGCATGCTTCTCAAACCCAAGAGGAGGGGCTAATTTTGGAAGTTTAGCAAATCCACTGGGAACTGTCTGGGGTGGCCTGCTGGTTCTGCAGCCATATTACAATTTTGAACACCTACTATGTATGAAGCATTTTACTAGCTGCTTTACTTTATGGTTTCTGCAGAAGGCAGGTGGTGGAGGAAGAAGCAGTCTTATTGCCAAGGTCTTATATTGTTCTAAAAAATGGTAAATCAAAGTTGAAAAAGTCACTGGGGTGACACTTCAAGGAGACTCATTGGAAACCTGCTGCCCCAAGTGGGACTCAATGTTATCCTGCTGCATAATCCCTTAAAATCAAGGTTGGATACAAATGTGTAAACACACAGATAAATAGATGCAAATGGAGCAGTTTCCTTTCTTTCTCACTCTTTCTTTTCCCTCTCTATTTTCCCACGCCTGATCCTTTTGTACTCTCCTCTCTCTTGATTGTAACAGTCCAGGTACTGTCTGCAAAGGCTTGCTTGTCCTGGGCTTTCTCCCCATAGTCCCTGCCATCTGACCTATATTTGTTCACAAACACAGAGGCAAGGGACCCTAAGTAGACTAAAGTCAATGGTGAAACTTCTGAGGCTGTAGATGAACAAAATGATGAGAAAGCCCTTTTGTCACAGGGGAAGGGGGCAGTATAATATTCTAAAAATATGTCAGATTTAAAATTGTAGAGCTATGAATTTTAGTCCTGGCTCCATCGTATTATAGCTGTGAAAACTTAGGCAAGTGCTTAACTCTCCTGCTCCTCAATTTAACTACATGTGAGTTGGGTGTATTGATTCCTAACCCAGAGGTGTTGCAAGGAAAATGTGTGTAATAATGGCTAATGCTTACATAATACAATATGTACTTTTCTAAGCAACTTGATTAATGAACTCAATTAACTTTCACACTAATTTTAGGAAGTACAATAGTTACAGGTGCTCAGTGCTCTGTGGGTCTCTCTCCCCTCACTCCTTTCTTCAAGGAGCCAGGAGTCTTGCATCAAGTCCTCTGGCCACAGTGGAACAGTTCTCTCCGTTAATTAGGTGTTTCATTTTACTGCCAGTCCTTTGTTTTCTCCCTGGAGATCTGGCAGAATTTCCAATAAATTGTATTTCAAGAAAAGAAATAGCAAAAGACAGTGAGTGGCTCCCAGGTTGGGGACTGCAAGGTTTCTTTCTGATGGGGAGAACAATTTTGCCATTGTCCTCAGTAATAGGACTTCGTGGGGAGACAGCTGTAGACCTTACTCCCCAATTCTTTGTTTTGTTTCGGGTTTTTTTTTAGCAGTCACCAAATTAGGCTACCTTTTCTTCCCCTTCTCTTTTGTCAGTAGCATATTTTATTCTCACATAGACCATTTCTTATTCCCACAAAGGAAATTAAAGTTTTGGTTTTGGACTTAGAATAGGAATGTGGCAAGGGTTTGCTTGTATCCAAAAAGTGGGACTAGATAGTTTTGCAAAACCTGCTGCTGTGGAACCAAGAGTTTCTTTCTGGTGAGCACTCCAGGATCTCCTTGGGCCCCACACTTTCATCTTAGAGAAAAGTCTTAGCGTTCAACTCTGGACTGATCACTAGTACTTTTTCAGCTCTACGATGATCCAGGCCCAGAATATTCAGTTCTTTGCCCTCTGCTTGAGTGTTTATTTATTTATTTAATTTAATTTTTTTGCGACTGAGTTTCACTCTTGTTGTCCAGGCTAGAGTGCAATGGCACGATCTCAGCTCACTGCAAACTCTGCCTACCGGGTTCAAGTGATTCTCTTGCCTCAGCCTCTGGAGTAGCTGGGATTACAGGCACGCGCCACCATGCCTGGCTAATTTTTGTAGTTTTAGTAGAGACGGGGTTTCACCGTGTTGGTCAGGCTGGTCTTGAACTCCTAACCTCAAGTGATCCACCCGCCTCAGCCTCCCAAAGTGCTGGGATTACAGGTGTGAGCCACCGTGCCTGGCCTGGTTGAGTGTTTAACTCTCCAAGGAGAATCAACAGGTGGAGACCTGTGGTGGTGGAACTGGGCATGACCCCAGAGTAACTCAGGTTTGATTCACAGTCCTACTGCCCATCAAGATAGGTAATGTTGGCCAATTTTTCCACTGTAGGCAATGATATTCTTTCCCACCTTTCCCACTCTGCATCCCACTTTTATGGCATTATTGGCACTCTCAAAACAGATCTGAATCATTGCATAGGCTGTTATTGATACAATGGCTATTTCCCTCATAGCCACTTGCCTCACTCCTTACCTAGTCTCCAAATGCCAATTCAAATGTTGCCTTATTCATGGTAGGTGTTCAACATATATTTCCATTTAGGAGACATTTGCCACTTTTCTTGGCTGCCCAGAGTCTTAATTCTCTCATTCCTTCTTTATGTTATTAATCTTAATAGAAGCTAAAGCTATGTACTACTAGAGAAGCTGAAAAGATAGAACAATCTCTTTTCCAGTGTATCTTGCATCTAGTTTTTGCTGGCCACGTGAATGCACTTGGACTTTATTCGAAGCTAGGGAGGAACTGAGAATACTGAAAATGACTTGTTGATGGTTGTAATCTTCTTCATTTCTGCAACTGATTGCAAGGGCATAGTTATATTATGACCATCATTCCACTGCTAAATTTACATTCCCTTTGCTCTCATTTAGTACCTCAGTTGGTCATGGTTTTTTATCTGAGTGTGAGACCCTAACCTTCATCCCTAGAGGGTTTAAAGCTTCAGTAGATCTGAATGTATTGGGTTTCTATAATCTTCCATTAACTTTGATCATTAGTCATGTTGGTTCAGTGGTATGAGATACACCAATCAGCAGCTGGCAATCTTGACTTCTAGTTCAATGAACCATTGTTGTGTCTCCTGGAGGAAACATTTTTTTCCTTGAAAACTAAGACCTCTAGGCCAGCAGAACTCAAATGTACAAGAATTGGAGTATAATTTTTGTGATAGGGTTATTAGAGTTAATCGTGCAGGTAGCTCCTTTTGCTTCTTGGTTCTCACACCCAAGAATTCTGGCTATAGAAAAATGATATCAAATGTGAACTAGTAGTTCAGAACATATATTGCATCTTGTAGCATAGCATCCCAACTTTGCAAGTATTGTTTTCTAGCAAGCACCATAACTGACTCTTCAATAGGTTATTTTACCATTCTATTAGACTGTCTGCTTCTGAGTGATAAAGTTCGTGGGAAGATTCATGGTCATGAGGCCACTGTTCCACTTCTTTCATATAAAATGAACTCCTTCATCATAAGCAATGTCGTGCAGGATTTCATGATGGAGAATAAGGTATTCTGATATCTACTGATGTGGTGTTATAGAAACACTGTGGTCAGGGAAGTCAAATCCATATACATATTGATACCTCTTCCAGCAAGGATAAATCATTGCCCCCTATATGATTCAAGGGGTCTGATCAAACCAGAGGCTGAATACCTTCCTTGGAAATGATGCAATACCCTAGGCTCAGCATTGGTCTGTGCTATTGATGGGTTGGACAGACGCTCACACATGGGTTCAATAACATAGGCTTCTCACCAAAGTTGACCTAATTCCAGCATTGCTAATGTCCATCCCTGTAGTTATGGCCATCTTGTTCATGAGCCCATTGAGTAAGCATCAAGGTGGCTAGGGAAAGAAACAACCTAGGCACAGGATAGGATATCTTGACCATCTGATTATCAAGTGTTCCTTTGTAGTGGATAACATTATTTTGTGAACATCTGCACAGACACAAATAACCTCATGCTCCATGCCCATTCTGAGAAGTTCACCCCTAGAACTCCTTTATACTTCTCTAATTTTGTTCTTTCCAAGCCCCTGCCCATCTGACCATTTTAACCTTCCCAGGCTTCTTCCAAATAACAATATAACTACAACTTGGTGGGAGGGGGATTTAATTTGGCTATTCAGATGGCACTTAGTTTAAGACCTAATTAGGTGGAGAACCAGGAGATAAAGAACAAACAGGATTGATTCTTTTACTTCTCTCTACTGGCTGAGTTTCCCATCCCAGTATTTGGGTTTTCAGAAAGGGCAGGAGGCCAAGCACATGGAAAGCTCCAGGCGGCCCAGCAGGAGGAGAGGTGAGTCATTTACTTCTGGAGGAATTAGGTTCGGTAATGTCCCATTAACCTGGCTTCATCAGGAAATGAGCTGTGTCACCTAAGTAAATTTTCCAATAACTGAAGCTTACCCTTTCATGTGCCAAAACTTGATTTAATGATTTTGGATGGAAGTCTTTCTAAAACCAATTACATGCTTCCCTGCCTATTTCAGTGGAAGATCCTGCTCATATTCTAACCTTTTCTTGAGGACATGGGGACCATTAATTTACTAGGTTGTAATTTACAAAAATAAGGCGCTGTTTGCCCCAATAATGAATTTTTCCATTCTTGCTCTGACTTTTGAGTTCTTCTGCCCACTTTAACAATCTTATTTGTTTTTGACCTCACTTTCTCCTGCCCTTTGGTGGCTATGTGACAGCCAGATAAGAATGGGCTCTGGAATCAGACCTGAGTTTGAATTCCAGCTCTGCCACTTATGGTCTTAGGGTTCCAGAATCCTCATATGCAATAGAAGTGTAAGTAACCTGTCCCTGGTCATGTGTCTAGAAATTCCTACTCCTAAGTATCACTGGGAAGGCCAAATACACAATGAAAAGGAAGACCCAACAGTATGAAACATGCAACACATTGTAGCTGTTTAATAATAAACATTACTTCCCAACAAGTGGACTTACTTCTCCCTTACTATTCCAGCCTGCTACCTTTGATCTTCAGAGGGTCATCTGTGAGTTTCACAGACAAGGTTGCCACTGTCATATTCACCCTATTCCCAGCCACCTGGCATCTAGCACAAAGCTGGGCACAGAGTAGGGGTTGAGAAAGGTCTTTCTTGTCACCAGGAAGAAGCATGCCAGCTCTTCACAGGAGGCGAAACTTCTTCCAGATTAAGTTCTACAATCAGTTTTGCATGTGGAGGTCCTGGGAGATGTAGCAATTCTGCAGACTTTGGAGTTTTAAAACTTTGGAACATGAAAGTCCAAGATCCACTTTGCATTCCTGACCAAAGCTCTTCTGTGTTTAAGGAGAACTGCAGTGATGCATTTGCGGTTCTCCTTAAATACAAAAAATCTTAGAAGGACTGAAAATTCATCTTAGTTCAACTTTTGGAGAATAAGATTTTTTTTTTTTATTAAACTAGTCATAAGCTCTTGGAGCTGCAGAGAAAAAACATGAGATCTTCCCATACTGCTCTTTCCCTCCTCTCCCCAATATCCTTTTCCTTGGAAGTCCTCTGCCCTTCATGGAATTGGTAAGGCATGAATAGCAAATGGGAAATTAGGAGTGAGGGGCATGCCAGTCATATTTCTTTTTTAAATTTTAAGTCTTGGAGCCAAGACCAAGGCCACATACTGACTGGGCAGGGTGCACCTCTCACAGCAACTCCTGCCAGGTTCCTAGAATGCTGATTCATCTTCTTGTGAAATGAAGACCTCTCCAGAGGGAGGAAAAGGGAAGTAAAGAAAGGGGAGGGAATGTCTTTCTATTTCCTAAGCACCCAGTATGTGTCAGGCTGTATATGTGTTGTTTTATTTAATGCTGACAATAATCTCAGTTATTGTCCAATTCTTGCAAACTGTAACAGTTGGAAAGTTTGAATAATTCGTTCATGTTAGCAGTTGACATATAAAGACTTTTATTTGGCAGGCAACAGAATATAGGGTTGGTATCTTCTATGAGACACTACCTCCCATATCCTTATCTCTTCCTGTTCCACAGAAGGCTAGAAAACAGGAAAGCAATATGGAAACTCTAATGTAAGTGATTCTTTACATATTCAATGGAAGTTCAAGCTTGGTATCCCACCATGGGGGAATGATAGTTGTTTTGTCTTTTCATGTATATAGCACTTTACAGTTTACAAATATCTTGTTTTTCCTTTCCCCCTGTCTCCCTACCTCTCTCTTTTCCTTCCTTCCACTGTGTCGTATCTATTATATGACCTCTGTGTTCTGTGTTGTACCTATTATATGACCTCTCTGGCTTCACTTTTATCTTCAAAATGAGTATAACAATTTGTGCACTATTCATGGGAGGGATTTTAGGAGGCCAAATAGGACATCAAAGCTAGTTCCTCTGTTATATGCTCTTTTAGAACCCAGTGCTTAGTAAAAGTGCAATTAAATAACTATTTGTGTAATTATGTGTTTACCCTCTGTCTTTCCTGTAGAGATCTCACAGATCTTGTTTGCCATTGTATCTCTAGCATCTGTGTTATTGGCATCTTGGCAGCAGCACTAGGACTTGAATCTGAGTCTAATGACTCCTACTAGGACATGAGTGGAAAGTGGAAACAATAAACAGAAACAGCAAATCTAAAACTATATAGAAATGAGAAGAATAACTGAATGGAATTGAGTGATGCCAGTGGAGGGCATGAACCCAAGTTGCAAAGCCAACGTCAGTGCAGGCTCTGCCATGCTGTCCATAGCAGCTCTGAGAGGTGGGATTGGGAAGTTTGGAAACAGAAATCAGCAGTCAGTAGCTTGCTCGGTCAGTACAGGGGGAAACAGGGCACATCACCTTTGGAGTCTGGAAGTCACATGCACTATTCCCTCAAGTTTGGTTTAAGCTTCAAGTTTCCCTGGAAGGCTTTCTATTTTCATCCATGTGACTGGTAACATTGAGAAACCTTGTTTTGAGGAAATCACTGGTGATCAGCTCTGTCCTTACTTCTTCCTGTCCAAGAAACAGCATGGGTAAGGCTAACCACGGCCTCTATGGACAGGTAGAGAACCTACCTGCTGGAGGATTTTAAGGAGGCTAGATTGACGGTCTAGGTTCATTTTGCCAACAAATCTGGCAAATTCTCTTATGTCTTCGTGGAACATCTATGGAACGTGTTCTAATTTAGTATCTCAACTCTAGTGGGAAATGAGGCTAATTTGGTATGATGTACTTTGATTAATCTCTCCTTTCCTATACCACAGACACTGGTTTGATAATCCATTCTTTAAGTATACTGAGGATTGTTCTCAGATAATTCAATAACTAATGTATATTAAGTATCAGAACCAGGCATTGGGCTGCTCCTGCTATCTAATTCTCCCAAGGATCTTGTGGATGCTGGGTTCCCATTTTAGAGATGAGGAAATAGAAGCTTAGAAATGTTTTGAGATGTGCCAAGGTCACAGGTGCACCTTCTAGAATTTGATATTTATGTGGGACATACAGACGTGAAGCCTGTCTTCCCAGAGGAGTGGAGGAATGAGGGAAAGGAGACTAATATTTATGAACAATCATGTGCCAGGCTAAGTAATTGACCAGCTTTATCTCATTTAATGCCCATGGCACACCTAAGAGGTGGATCTATTACTATCTCCATTTTAGAGAGGAGGTAACTGAGCACGGAGAGGTGAAGTAACTTACTCAATGTCATGGCACTGGCAAGTGGGGGCAGGTTGGGAAATCTGGTCCATATACCACAAAGGTCTTCCTTCTGATCACTCCCTCTATAGAGCTGCCTCACGGGAAGTGTGCAGGTGAAGCTGGGGGACATCCAAAAGAAGACTGAGGAGGCTTGCAGACCTGGGAGGGGAAGGAGGGTGTGGCAGCCCCAGAACCCTGGGTGTCACTGACCGGTCAGTGTCTGCAAGCTTCCTTCTATTGTCCCCCTGCTGTTTTAGAGCTTTCAATTTTGTGTTCCTTCCCAGCTAAAAATAAGATTTTGTTTGCACACAGGGCAAAGGCCCTGGGGCCCTCCTGAGAAAATGTGCAGAGGAAACAGGACATGGGGTGGACAGCAAAGGCAAGAACGTCAACTCCATAGCTGCAAGAGGCTAGAAGCACGGAGCGGGAAATGGCACTTCCCTTGTGTTTTTATGTTTAGCTGGGGTTTAATTAATAACCGGCAAACAAGTCTATAATTAACTTGACTCCCCTTTTGGCCAGCCAAGGGAATAATAATCATGTTTTTTTTTTTTTTAAGTCCTTGGTGTTGCTGGAAAGATGGGAGGGAAATGGGGCTTTAAGTGCTGCTTGCACAATAATGAAAGCTCTGCGTAGCCCTCACTGCTCCCTCTCCCTTGCAAATTGCATTATTTATACCAGATGTTGCATTAAAAGAAGAATTACTATACTTCAGGGCTTAAATTATATATGCCTGATTTATTGCCTTTTTTCAGTTTTAAATGCTACCTTGCAGAACCTTGCTGATAAATGATAGCTTATTATTTTTCAGAGTGCTTGGGCTTATGAAGATTTTGAGAGAAGGAAGGGGTTAACTCTTTCCAGGCTGGACCATTTCCCTTCATCAGACGTGCACACTTCTGGTTGTTTTTATTTTTAATTGCTGAAGTGACATGCCAAAATCCTGTCTTGGCTCCTTGTACCTCAACGATACAGCACAAACTTCTCAGTGTGGCATTCAAGACCTGCCTCTGACTTCCCTTTCTAGCTCCCATTATTTTCTTTTCCACACGCTCTGCTCCTGAGTCCTAAATGATCTGGCCCATGTCTACCCTACCAGCCTCATTTTGTGTCCGTCTGCCACCCCTGCCTTCTTCTAGCCCTTTGAACATCCAAACTCCTTCCTGTCTTGGGGACTTTGCACATACTGTTCCCTCTGCCTGGAACTCTCTTCTCTCCATCCTTCCTTTGGCTAAGCATCTTCCTTGTTTCAGCATGAATACCATTTCTTGACCCCTAATATTTATTAGATACTCCTGTCATGGCGCCAAGAACTTTCTCCTTCTAGCACTTTCCAGAGTGTATACTAATTTATTTATTTGTATGATTATTTGCCTGGTTCCTCCACTGCACCATGAGCACTGTAAGGCCAAGGACTGACCCTGCTTATTCACCAGAGTAATTCTGAGCTGCACGCAGAGCCAGGCATTGAGGCACAGTATTTTCATTGAACAAATGGCTGAGTGAGCAGCCAAGCTGCTTGGCCTGTCCATTACACACTGCTCAGCACCCTCCTCTTCATTATTTCTGCCTCTGACTTGGGGAATCTGCTCAAGGGCTTGGGCTGGTCCTTAGACTATGAAGATGACTTTGCCAGGCACTGAACTGTAGACAGTGTTCCAGACAGAGGGAACAGCAAAAAGAAGACCCAGAAGTGCTAGAGAACAAGGTGTTTTTGGGACCGTGGTTCATATAAAGGCTCAGTATAGTTGGAGTAGAGGGTGTAGATAGGCTGCAGAGGGAGAGGAGAGCCTAGGCCTCAGAGGACTTTGCATGTCATGCTGAGGAGTTGGAGTTGTATTCTGTGGCCTATGGGCAGCAAACAAAGGCTTGGAAGAAGAGAATGCCATGATCATCTCCAGATGCTAGAAGAAAATAATCTGGGCCAACACCAGGGTTCATAATCCTGGTTAGATTAAGAAGGAGAGCAATGCTTCAGAAACATACAAACTCAACTCGCTGCCTGCGGAGAAGATGGGGTGCAGTTCCCAGGACTGGCTTTCCTGGGTACCACACGGACTCCCTGGGAGACACCAACATTTTAAAACCAAGGGTGTCTATTTCTACCAGCTAACATGTACTGGCTCTCCAGGCATGGATGGAGGTGCTTTTCCCTCATCTCAATTCAGTTTTAATAGGTCCCAGGGGGAGTTGCAGATTCATGAGCGAGGAAGGCAGGCAGAGAGAAAAGAAGGTAGCTTTTGTTGAGGGCCTACTCCGTGAGGAACAAAGCACATGCCTGGAGCAAATACTTTCTCTTTTAATTCTTCCAACAATCCTGAGAAATAGGTGTTATGACCCCCGTTTTTATAGATGAGAAAATGAGGCTTAGGGTAGCTAGAAAATGTGTCCAGCTAGTGGCTGGCAGAACCTTGGTCTGTTTATTCCCACTCCTGCTGTTGCAACTTTCCCTGGCCTTTTGCTTTACATAGCACCCAGAGTACAGTGATTCTTTGGTATATGTGCTGTTGCTCTAGTAGACCGTCAGTTCATATAGTGCTCAGTCGGCACTGAGGATTTCTTTTATTAGGTACTCAATACATGTCTGCCAATTGGCCCAGTAGCTTCTAAAATGTACAATTAACCCATCAGTCACTAGAGGGCATTATAGATTTATAATGTGGAGTGAAATTAAGAGTTACAGATGATTTCATTCACCCAGCTATTGTTTCCTTCCTTCCTTCTTTCCTTCCTCCCACCCATCAATCATTCACTTATTGACAAAAAAAATTGCTAAATGCTTTACATGTACTAGGCTTGGGACACTGAGTGAAAAACTGTCAAGTTGCTCATTGTTTTTGGCACATCATGGAGGGGAAGGCCCCAATAGGGTTAAATCGTAAAAACACATAGCCCTTCACTCAGCCTGGGAGTCAGAGAAGACTTCCTGAAAAGGCAGTAACTGAGCTGTGTTTAAAAATGGGTTGAAGTTAGCTAAGTGTAGAAGGAGAGACAGAAATGTACTGTAGGCTGAAGGGCTATCACAGGCAAAGTCCCAGGAAAAGAGAAGTAAAGAGCTCTGGGACTGCAAACAGACTAGAGTGGATAGATGAAGGGTCAGAGATGGGGCCGAAGATGCGGCTGGCAGGGCCTTGAATGGCAGGCTGGGGACTTTGAACTTGCCCTGAAGTCTTTGGAAGAGTCTGAAATGATTTGAGCTGAAGGTGGGAGAGAAAATGAATTCTTTTCACTCTGCGTCTTTGGTTGTGTAAAAGAAGAAAATATGACACCCCCAAATATGACCATAGGAGATCAGAATATGCCTCTTTGGCATAAGGATTATTTTGAGCTGATTGTTTTGCAAAATTGCAGACACACTCTGAAAACAGAGTAGAAGTTACCCCTTTGTAGGGGAAATTTATACCGATAAAGAAAAATCTCTATTTGCAAAGGTGTCTCCTTCTCTGTACCAGGAGAGAAAGATGCATCTAAACCACTAGAGACTCTTACCAATAGTGAAAGCACTGACTTATAAACCTGCATAACAAACCTTAGCAAACCTTACCCTTGCTTACTATGTTTTCCTGGGCATCTCCCCATAACCAGCCTTCCCCCTAGCATTCTTTGTTTCAACAAACCATGGTATTTAAGCCCACATTCAAAGCCACTTCACTGAGAGTCACTCATTTCTCTGTATCTCTCCCGTGGATACATGAAGCATACATGTTGTCAAACTTCTGTTTGTTTTTCTCTTGTTAATCTGTTTTTTGTTACAGAGCTCCATTCTAATCAAGAACTATAAAGGGTAAAGAAAAAATTGTTTTTTCTTCCTCTTTAGTTCCAAAGCAGAAAGTAAAAAAACTGTAGATAAGACCAGCTCAAAGGCTACATTAATCTATCCCAGAGATGATACTGGCCTGAATTAAGTCAGCAGATAAGAGGATGTAGAGAATTGGATGGAATTAAAAGATTTTAAGGAAGTAGAATGGGCAGATCTTGGTGACAAGTGAGGATGAAGGAGAGAAACTGCCTTTGCAAAGATTAGGACAGCAAGAGAAGTCTAGCATGGCTGATTCCATCTTGCCCCTTGCCTCACAGGCTGGCTGTCCTCACTTATTCCTGAGTGTAGGCCAAGCTAACCATGAAAGGAATTTAGTTTATAGTTTAACTTTAAAGAGAGGATGATAATAGTCTCTCTCTCAAATTGATCTTCTCCTTGTTCAGGGACTGAAACAGCCTTTGTAAGTAATGAAAGGCCACAAAATTAAGATTATAGGAGGGGTGTGAATTCTTCTAAAAATAGATGTAGTTAAACAATAACCAGCCATTGCTCCGTAACTTGTGTTTCTATAATCCCTTGTTGCTCAGGAGTCATGTGGCCAGATGTCACAAGATTTGTGACTTCCCAATTGCTCCTATAAATAACGTCACTATTGGAAAACCTAAGATTAGTCTTTTGAGATGTTTTTCAGACTTTTGCATTCTCTCAACTGACTGCCTCCCCCTGGATCCAGGACTCATGATTCAACCCTACCAGAAGGTGGACTCAGTTTTTGGTTTGAATGCCTGAGTGGATGGAGGGGACATTCCCTGGAGTGGAGAACATGGAGGAGGAGCAGAGTCTGGAGGAAATGCCAAGTTCAATTTTAAACATGCTGGATTTGAGCTGCTTCTGGCACATCCAGGTGAAGATGTCCAACAGGCAGCTCCATAGACAGGCTTGGTGCTTAGGAGAGGGCTCTGGGTTGGAGAGACTGTTGTTGAGTCACAAGCACATGGATGCTTTTTAGAGACATGGATATGGATGTGTCCAAGTAGAATTATTAATAGTTTTTGAGGAAAGAAGAGCTGGGAGTTGAAGGAAAAACCTTGAGGAGACTTAGCAGTTAAGGATCAAGACCTGAAAAGTTGAGTCTAAAAGGGTGGAAGAAAAGCCCTGTGAGAATAACAGCACTGAAATCCAGGGGAGACTGTAGTCAACAGTAGCAAAAGCTGCAGGAAAAATAAGGACTGAGATGTATCTATTAGCTTTAGCAAATAACATTGGTAAGAGCAGTCTCTAGGAGATGATGGGTATAGAAACCACATTTTAGTGACTTGAGGAGTGATTAAGAGGTGAAGTAATAGCAGTGAATAAAGATGCTATTACAGGAATTGTGGGTGTGAAGGAAAGGAGAGAGATTAGGAAGTAAATTTCTAGGAATATGGAATCAATTGAGGGGTTTTAAATTTTCTTAAATTTAATAAAGAATCTTCACCACATTTATAAAAACACAGTGAGTAAAGAGGAAGAGAGTGAAGATACAAGATGGAGAGCAGATGTAGACAAATTTATGGATGGCAGGTAGATTGTGATAAATGGAGATGATATTCACCTGAGAGAGCGGTTTCATCGCAAGACAGTGAAGAAAAAAAAGGATCTAAACCAGAATGGGATGAGATAATTCCCTTAGCCACACCTGTATGAGCTGAAAATTAGTCTTGGAATTCTGCTGCAAGTCTTTGTAGTTTGTTTTGTCTGCTCATCAGTCCATTCATCTAGTTCCAATCCACCCACGCACTGGGATCTACTCATTCACTGGTCTGTCTGTGATCCATCCAACTTGGCAGAGCCAGTCCCCATCCTCATGTGTGGGATTAGCATTCTCAGTGTATTACTTTTGTTCTGTTTATAAAATCTCCAGATAAAAATCCTTTCCAGGTATTGCTAGGTATTGAATAAATGAATACATCAATAAATGCAGGAATAAATACTCACTTCAGATCTCTTTCATCCCACCATTTGGCCAAAATTTACTTAGCAACTACTATGTGCGAGGCACTGTACAGGTGCTAGGTCCACAATGATGACCTAAATGGGGTTCATAGAACTTGTTGTCTGGTCAGGAATAAAGATATGAAAATAGGTGATTGCAATACAAAATGCTAAATGTTGTGATTGGATCCTGGAAAGTCGGGGCTGGAGATGGCATCCTGAAATGTACAACTAGCCAGAACCCTGAGCTCTCCAGGTTAATCCAAATTGACTATTCCAATCTGGAATGATGTTTTATGAATGGGAAAACCAGAATATTTCTTTCAGAATATGCTACACTTAGGAGTGTATGAATAAAAGAATCAATAAATTAATAGATGATTTCTTTCATCCTATTAAGAATATTTACAGTTGTCTGTCTTTGAACTCTTACTTCCCAGAAAGTTTCAACTTCAGTAAACAGCAGCCCAGTGTCAGGGAGTTTTGTAAATAGTGAAATTTTCTTGTAGATGCTCTAATTCCAGCCGGTCCTTTTCCAACATCAGTACTTTTCCTGGGGAAAAACTACATGTGTCTGACTGTAATAAGTACTTAAGGCAAGGCACTTAACCTTCCGGTGGGGTTGGGGGGCCATTTTCAGTTGAAGAAGTTAGGTCTCCTTTGTGCCAGCAGTCATGTAATTGACCTGGAGTCTTGTGTGAGTTCTAATAAAATGATTGTCGGTAGAAGATGGTTCTGCTCGGAATCATGGAATTGACTGGCATAGAATAACAGTTCCGGTTCCCCCCTTCCCTGTGTTTTGACCAGGCCACCCAGAAACAAATTCCCAGCAGAGACTATTCTTCTACTTTTGCAAATCTCCCAAAGAAGAAGCATCTACAGCTTTCTCACACTTCCATTATGTTGATTAAAAATTATAAAAGTGAGAAAATGCTCTGTTATAGAAATGGGACTGATTAATGTCTTCGGGACCTGAAAATGAAGCAGTTGATAATAAAAATGAAAATAATATTGGTTGTTGTTCATGGTGTCTACTGGGTGTCAATCTGGTAGAGAGACAGAGTGTTTGCATCCCTGTCTAGAGAAGTGAAGAGAAGAGAGGGGACACTGCTGAGTGGAGTTCAGAGATAGAACCAGCCAGGCTTGTGTCTCGAGCTTGGCCACCAGGAGCTGGAGAAGCCACTTTGAAATGCTCTGATAAGTCTCTATCATTCACCATGGGCTGAGAGGGGCCATTCTTTTTACTTAGTATGGAGAAAAAAAATGAACAACCAAGAGTTATCAAACAATCAACTAATATAAAAGTCTTCTAAAGATCTAGCAGCTGCTGTTGGCCAGGAGAATTAGAAAGTTAGAGTGAAAAAAATCACCCAAAAGAATCTTGAGGATAATTATATCTTTTTAAAAAAATTAAGTAGTGAGTTGTATGGTTCAGAACCAGGGCACTAATGACATTTGGAAGAGGTGAGGCTTAGTGCATCATAATATGCTCATGAAAGGCTTTTGGAAAGGGAGGGAGCTTGCATTGGGTTTTCAAAAATGGGTTGGATGTTTTGAAAGCCTCTTGGCTATTCTTGAGCCCTATCACTACTTCCTCTTCTTTCTTACTGTTATACCATATACCTTGATCACACTGAAGGCCCAGGCAGAGACTGAAATCTTAAACATTTCCCAATACTGCCTCCTATAGAATCAAAATGGTATTTATTTCTCACAGGCTAGCTCTGGGTATGCAAAGACGGATGAGATGGAGTGCCTGGAATGTGTCAAGCTCTCACAGGTGGTATAGGAGGAAGGGCCTCCATGACCTTGCCCGTGCTGTTTTTTTTTTGTTTTTGTTTTTTCCTGGAATGCCTTTCTTCCCTCTGCATGAAGGACTCTGATTTATCTTTCAAAGTCCAACTCAAACACCCACTTTTTTGGGGAGTCCTCCTTCAACTGTGTATGGTGAACTGCTTTCTTCTATTAGAATTTCTACTACATTATAGAATTTCTGTTAGTTTATAGAAATCATGATTACTAATAAGTAAAGTCATATAATCATAATCATAACAATCATAATAATTTTTCAAGCACTTATTTGCTAAGGTCTTTTTATGCATTACCTTATTTAATTCTCACAAGACTGCAATGAAGTAAATTCTACTACCAGGATGTCCCTTTTATAGATGCAGAAAAAGAGACTTAGAAAATTGCTCCATTGGTAAGTAAGTAGTTGGATGAGGATACAAGCCCAGGTTGGTTTGATGCAGAGTCTGAAATCTTAAACATTCCCTAGCACTGCCTCCTATAGAATCATACTGGCATTTATTTCTTACAGGTTAGCTCTGGGGATACAGAGATGGATGACAGGGAGTGCCTGGAATGCATCAAGTGCTCATAACTGGTGCAGGAAGAAAGAGGTAGTCAATAGAGATTTTCTAGGAATGCATCTCCCCATTTTTAGCTTGTTAGCCACAGGGAAAGGCACAGGGCTGAACTGAATTGAACTCCTCTGCTATTTCACATTCATTTGAGACTCTGCTCAGGAATCATCTTTTCCGGGAGGTCTCTCTGTCAACTCCTCTCCCTCCCAACACTGTCATTTTTGCCATTGTTCTGTTACCTGGCCATGTGCTGTCATCGTGTGTAATACTTGCCTGCTGGTGCTTACTATATGCCGTTGACTTGCCTATTACAATAAACAGACTTGCCCTGTCTAAGTGACTTCTAGAAACTTTAATATGGTGTTTAGATGATGTAGAGCAAATACCCAACTTCTCTGCTTCACTTTTCTCATCGACAAACTTGGAATAATAATAATACCTATGTATGTGAATAATATCCCATTTGCTCCCAGATCAGTATTTTTTTAAAGGCTTGTCAGGAGAAGCAGTGGGAGTGGAGAAGAAACAAATAAATCTGTAACTGGTTGTGATCGATTAGTTGTAAACACCATTGCCCTTGGACCAGCCTCAGTACAGTTTTTGACCCCTTTTGGCTGTGCTCTGTGTCTGGAGGAAGGCTGACTGCATCATCTGGGCTCACTTGCCGACTGACTTCTCATTGTGTTTGGCCCATGGGAGGCACTAGTAGGTTGGGCAGTGGGAATCGGGAGGTCTGGGATATTTCTTCCCTTCCCCAGCACACTTCTGGCAGTATTTCATTCATTTTTATCCATGTGTGGCCCCTCCTACATGGGAAGCCAGTTTTCATAGCTTCACTGTCTTCTGACCTGCCCCTCTTCCTTGAGCCCTGGGGGTGGTGGTGGTTTTCTGTGGTCACCTTATGATTTCTTTTTTGTTTGTTTGTTTGCCTTAATTTAAAAATACTTTACTGCTAAAAATGCTAAGAATCATCTCAGCCTTTAGCAAGGTGTAATCTTTTTGCAGGAAGAGGCTCTTGCCTTGATGTTGAAGGCCTGCTGATCACAATGGTGACTGCTGAAGGTTGGACTGGCTATGGAAATTTCTTAAAATAAGACAACAATGAAGTTTGCCACACTGATCGATTCTCCCTTTCATGAAAGATTTCTCTGTAGCATGCAATGCTGTTTGATAGCATTTTGCCCACAGTAGAACCTGTTTCAAAATTGGAGTGAGTCTTCTCAATCTCTGCTACTGCTTTATCAACTAAGTTTATGTTATGTTTTAAATCCTTTGTTGGCATTTTGACAGTGTTCACAGCATCTTTACTACCAAGAGTACAGTCCATCTGAAGAATCAACTTTCTTTGCTCCTCCATAAGAAGCAACTCCTTCTCCATTCAAATTTTATCATGAGATGGCAGGAATTCAGTCACATCTTCAGGTTTATTGATTTCTTATTCATTGCCCTATCTCTGTCCACACCTCTTTAGCTAGTCCTTTACAAAAGCCTTTCTTTTTCTTTTTATTTTTTAACATCGTGGTGAACTTGGTTTTCCTGGTGGATACAGCTCTCTGTCAGGGATGTTGTGATTGGCTCCTGGTGGGCACCTGAATTTTGTTCTCTTTCTCCTATTGCTGTTGAACCAACTGAGAGCCTGTGGCCAGCCTAGGGAGAAACACTCAGCACCCCTGCACTCACTGAGAGTAGTTTCTCAGACCTGATGGCTGGCCAGTGCATGGGACTTCGGCATGCTGACACTCCTGGCTTCCCAGCCTCAGTGGCAGAGGAATGTCCCAGGGTTTATTGCAGCAGGTAGAGGAATGGCTTTTTCTCTCACAGGTTTTCCTTCCCCATATACAACTCCAATTTTAATCTTTCCTCTACCTGGCTCCTTAAGGATAATCAAGGCTTCAGCATACGAATTTGGGGGTTGGGTGCACAATTCAGTCTATTCCAGGTAGTGACGGAAAGCAAGAATTAGCAGACAGCCAGCTCACACATTTTAGGAGGAGAAATGCCTTCTTTCTGCCTCCTCTTCCAATATGGATGGATAACTTTAGTGATGTATATGCGAACACAACACAACTTCTGAGGGGCTGGTATGGTAACCCTAGGGAGGACAGGCTGGTGGGTGCTCACCTGGGATCACTCTGAACATCCTCACCTAGTGGCTACTGACCTGCTATGCTCATGGCTCTCCTGGGCCCCACTGGAGTCCATAGCTCTTATAGGTGTTCTGGGTTGTCAAGCTTGCTGTGTTCACAGCCCAGGCTGGGGCAGGGGAAACCTTCCCTCATGACCTCATTTGAACAAGCACCATCATTAAAGATAGGATGTATACTTTCCTTTAAAAAATATACTTATTTCTAGTTATACAAGCACTATGTTCATCATGGAGAATTGAGAACATACAGAAAAATATACAAAGAATCAAAAACACTGTCCTGATATCAAGGATATCAGAGACAGCAGAATTAACATTGTAATGTACCTCTTCCATTCTTTTTCCAAGAACATTCATATGTGTGTGTGTATAGTTGTATATGTTTATATTTGTGTTCACAGAAACATGTGTTCATATATTAAGTCATGTAAGCTGTTTTGCACCAAGCTGGGATGAAAAATGGGGAGGTGATATTAATAGTCATAATTTATATTTAACTGGCTTTTATCTCTATGTGGAATTATAGGTCTCATGTCCTTCTCCTCTTACAAAGTCCTGCTGAGTTATTTCTGGGAAGTTCTAAGAGATTTCTCAGATGAACTCAGGAGCTACTTGTCTATCTCCTTCACTTCCACAGCTGTGGCCCTTACAGTGGTGTCTACTCTGAGGCCTCCATGTCTCTGAATGTGCTTTCCCTTTGTGGCCTGGCCCACCATGAAAACTTTTTCTACTGGGTATTGTCATATCTTACAGCTGCCAGGCACTCTTGCTTCTCCTAGTACCTGGAGCCTTCCTCCAGGTATAGAAACATGATTGTGCTTTTTGGATCCTGTAGGGCACCAAAGCCAGGCTGGGATCACTGTAGAGGTGGGAGTCTCAGCCTCCGTTGGCTTGTAATTTGCGGCACAGGTCTGCTTTTTGTCTTATGTAGCAATGTTTTCAGAGCTCTTCATAGAAAACAGTTGTGGTGAATAGGCTTGGGGGAGGGCTGCCCCCTGTCTCTTCCCTCCATGCCTTGGCCTGCAGCTCCTCACATCAGGAGGTGGAATATAATCCCCTACCCTTTGACTCTGGGCTGGTCTTAGCGACTTACTTTACCAAAAAAGATGCATTCAAAAGGATGTTGTAGGCCCTCTGAGGTGAGGTTGTAAGAAGGCTTGCCATTCTTCCTGGGTCTCTTGGAACGCTCATTCTTGGGTCACTTCCTCTCATGGTACGAGAAACCTTATGGAGAGTCCACAGGTAGCCACGTGTGGGCATTTTTTTTTTTTTTTGAGACAGAGTTTCACCCTTGTTGCCCAGGCTGGAGTGCAGTGGTCTGATCTTGGCTCACTGCAACCTTCGTCTCCCAGGTTCAAGCCATTCTCCTGCCTCAGCCTCTCAAGAAGCTGGGATTATAGGCACCTGCCACCATGCCCGGCTCATTTTTTGTATTTTTAGTAGAGAGGGGGTTTCACCATGTTGGTCAGGCTGGTGTTGAACTCCTGACCTCAGGTGATCCACCCACATTGGCCTCCCAAAGTGCTGGGATTACAGGCATGAGCCACTGTGCCTCGCTGGCATTCCTTTTAATAGTTCCTCTGCAGGGACAGTCAGTACCCACTGGCAGTCATGTGAGTGCGTCATCTTGGATAGACAGATGGTGGAGCCTTCAGATGACTCTAGCCCAAGCAACCACCTAAGAAATCCTGAGTGAGAACTGCCTTGCTGAGCCCAGCTAGCTCAGAGGAACATGAATGAAAATAATAAATTGCACACATATGTTTATTGCGGCACTATTCACAATAGCAAAGACTTGGAACCAACCAAAATGTCCAACAATGATAGACTGGATTAAGCAAATGTGGCACATATACACCATGGAATACTATGCAGCCATAAAAAATGATGAGTTCATGTCCTTTGTAGGGACATGGATGAAGCTGGAAACCATCATTCTCAGCAAACTATCGCAAGGACAAAAAACCAAACACCGCATGTTCTCACTCATAGGTGGGAATTGAACAATGAGAACACTTGGACACAGGAAGGGGAACATCACACACCAGGGCCTATTGTGGGGTGGGGGGAAGGGGGAGAGATAGCATTTGGAGATATACCTAATGTTAAATGACGAGTTAATGGGTGCAGCACACCAACATGGCACAGGTATACATATGTAACTAACCTGCACGTTGTGCACATGTACCCTAAAACTTCAAGTATAATAAAAAAAAAAGAAAAAAAATAAATTGGTGTTTTAAGTCACTAAATTTTGGGGTAGTTTGTTGTGCAGGAACAGATAATCTGAACAGCAGCCCTCCTTTCTGTAGGCTCAGATATATTCTGAGCTCCCCGTGAATGGAGGGACAGGTACCTTGTCTTCCTCAGAACGTCCCCACCCTGTCTGTGTATAAAGCTTTGTTCCTGGGTTAAGCTTGTCTACCTGGCCTCTTTCCTCCAGATGATGACTTCTCTCCCAGGATAATTCCACCAGATTCATCCCATCATTCCACTTGTGATTCCCAGACATAACTCAATCCCAAGGGTAAATTATGGCTTAAGCTCTAGCTGGGAACTCTGTCTACGCAAAATGAGGAGTTTACTGTAACACAATTGTATGTATTCACGAAATTCTTTTTCCCTTTATTGTTCTATTGTGGTAAGTTTTTCATGTCATTAAAAATTCTGCAAAATTAATATTCCATCATTTGAATGTATATCAATACTAATGTGTAAGTTTTTGGAAAATTACCTCCTTCTCCTTTTTTTTTTCTTAAATTGTAAAGAAGGTTGAGATGAATATCTTTGTCCAAAAATTTTTACCCAGGAATTTAAGGAAATAATCAAGTATTCAGCAAAAGGTATGCCTTTCTTTAAAAAAAAAAAAACTTGAAATATAATGCCACATTACTTTTCAGAAAGATTGTACCAAGTGACCTGCCTCCAGTCAATTTGATAGGCAGAGATGGTATTTCATTATGATTTTAATTTGCTTTTCTTTGACTCTTAGTGACGTTGAGTAAAAAATGTTTTTAGTCTTTCACATTTCTGCTGCAATGCTTCTGTTTCCTTATTTGTTATTAATTATCTACTATGTGCCAAGAAAGCCACTTGACACCAGAAACTGAGGAGTTTGGCATACAACCCCTTGTGGGCTCTGAAGTGGACCACAGGCTGGAGGGGAGGGACAGAGTGAGATAGAAGAGCAGCTGGCCCAGGTCTGGCTGTGTTCTCAGCCAGTCACCTGGTGGATCCACAGTGTTCTTGAAAGGCTGTGGGCTTTGTGGAAAGACATTGGCAAGGGATTGGCTTCAGACATGCCTACCTTCAAATGCTGGCTCTGCCACTAACCAGCTGGGTGACTTCTCTCAAGTTATTTAATCTCCTCAGCATCAATCGTCTCAATGGTAAAACAAGGAAAATGCCATGTCCCTTGTAAATCTGTTGTTAGGATGAAAAGAGATAGTAAGGCAAAGTGCGGTGGCTCACACCTGTAATCCCAGCTCTTTGGGAGGCCGAGGTGGGTGGATCACCTGAGGTCAGGAGTTCAAGACCAGCCTGGCCAAAATGGTGAAACCCGTCTCTACTAAAAATACAGAAATTAGCTGGGTGTGGCGGCAGGCACTTGGAATCCCAGCTACTCAAGAGGCTGAGGCGGAGGTTGCAGTGAGCCGAGATTGTACCATTGCACTCCACCCTGGGTGACAACAGCAAGGCTCTGTCTCAAAAAAAAAAAAAAAAAAAAAAGAGATAGTAAAAAGCTAATAAAAATAAACATGGCATCCACTTAGTAACCATCAAATCCTATTCCACCTCTTCATCTTTTGAGTCCATTTCTCTCTCCCTGCTGTACTGCTGCCAGACTGGCTGCATAATTTGTGAGGCCTTACTGCATTCAGCTCTAGCATTTCTTAGTGCTTTTACTGTTCCAGTTCTAACCTGGTCTCCCTGTTCAATGTCTCATCCTCCAATCTACTTGCCATACCACCTCTGATTGTCTTTCTCAAACTAAATCTAATTGTGTTACTACTTTACTTAAGGTCCTCCAAAAGCTCCTTAATGTGACTGAGACCTGGCTTCTACTAACCTTCCAGCATGGCTTCTCATCTTGCCATTCTCTGTCTTCTGGCTGTACAGAACTTCCTAGAGTCCCTGACACAGCCTTGACCTTCTTAGAGCCTGATGTCTTGGAACATGCTGTGTCTTTGTTAGGACCCTTTTCTCCTCTCCTCTCCGTGTGGTTAACTCCTACTCATCCCTCAGGAATTAGTTCCAAGTTGGGTCAGGCACTCCCTCCTCCAAGCTTCCCTGTCCCAGCACACAGACAGGGAAACACACAATTCCCTCTCTATCACTGGATAATGGCTCCTTGAGGGCAGGAATAACATCTTAATTTGGACACCCCTATTATAGAACAAGAACAGGGTTTCTCAGCCTCTACACTGTTGACCAGGACCAGCTGCATAATTTGTGGGACCCAGTACCAGACGAAAATACAGAGACTCTTGTTCAAAAGTTACTAAGAATACCAACATGGCAGTAACATAGCATTAAACAAATGCAGATCCTTTCTGAAAGTGGGGCCCTGTCTACTGCTCAGGTGGCCTGCCCATGAAACCAGTCCTGCTAGTGACATTTGGGGCCAGATTATTCTTTCTTGTGGGGAGTGTCCTGTGCATTGTAGGATGTTTGGCAGCATCCCTGGGCTCTTCCCATGAGATGCCAGTAGCATCCTGCCCATCTGTGACAACCAAAAACGTCTCCAGACGTTGCCCAAGGTCTCAACAATTGCCCTCTATAGAGAACTGCTGGCCTAGAAGACCTTAGACACTTGAGGATGTATATATTAGTCAGGGTTCTCTAGAGGGACAGAAATCATCAGCTATATGTATATAGGAAAGGGATTTTATTAAGGAGAATTGATTCACACGATCACAAGGTCAAAGTCCCACAATAGGCCGTTTACAAGTTGAGGAGCAAGGAAGCCAGTGGTGGGTCAGTCTGAGTCCCCAAACCTCAAAAGTAGGGAAGCCAACAGTGCAGTCTTCAGTCTGTGGCCAAAGGCCCAAGAGCCCCTGGAATACCACTGATGTAGGTCCAGGAGTCCCAAAGCTGAAGAACTTGGAGTCTGATGTTTGAGGGCAGGAAGCATCCAGCATGGGAGAAAGATGAAGGCTGAAGACTCAGCAAGTCTAGTTTTTCCACGTTCTTCTGCCTGCTTTATCCTAGCTGTGCTGGCAGCTGATTAGATGCTGCCCACCCGGATTGAGGGTGGGTCTGCCTCTCCCAGTCCACTGACTCGAATGTTAATCTCCTTTGACATCACCCTCACAGACACACCCAGGAACAGTATTTCACATCCTTCAATCCAATCAAGTTGATACTCAATACTAACCATCATGATGTACCTGTGCTTTACTAGAGCTAAGGGCAAAGTGCTCTGGGGAACCCAACCAGTCTGAGGGAGGCTTCCTGGAGATGTGATGTCTCAGGGGAAGTGCCTAAGGATAGGTAGTATTTGGATAGAATGTACAACCTGGCTAAGTAAGCTCATTGAACAAGAACCCCAAGGGCTGTTGGGAAGAGACTATCCAATAAAGCCAGGGAAGCCTTGGAAACCTCCAGATGCATCATAGATCTGGGGGTTTTACTTGGGTGGGCAGAATGTCCCCAGGCTGTGAGATTTATAAAGAGAAAGCAGCTTTGAAGTTCTTCCCTTGGAGTTTTTTCAGGGGTAGGAGTAAAGGAAGCCTTGAGGATCACAAGGAACCCTGGACTATAAAACCCTGGGCAGGCTTCCTTAAAAACAGAGGTCAGGACTGCCACCCTCAGCCAGCCTAAATGCTTAAATGCTTACACGTGTGCCACTCGTTGGAGCTGGGCGTGGCCTATCTTCTCATCTCCGTCAGGTTCTCCTCCCCCCAAGGACTCCTGAGGATGCTACAAACAGGTTACCCCATTTGTCTTGCTGGGGAAGGAAGGTGGAAGGCTGTGGCTTTGGGGGCTGCAGAATCCAGGTAGCGATGGCAGGTGGTATTTCTTGGGGCCAATGCTGGGAAACCAGTTGTCAGGTCAGATGTTGAGGAAAATGGTGAGTTTCTTAGACCCATGTGAAGGAAAGGCTCCTTATCTTCCTCTGGTCAGTATCCTCTGGTTCCCATAAAAATAGCTGCTTGGAGAAGACATTCTCCTGAGAGGAAGGAGAGCATAGGTCAGATGAGATTCCAGGAGATGCAGATTCCAGGGCCCTTCATGGAGTTGGGTCTTCCTTGAAGCCCATGTTCTTACACACACTTGTACACACACCTCTACATTCTAGCTGTGTGACTTGCAATAGTTACTTAACCCCTCTGTGCCACAGTTTTCTCATCTTTAAAATGGGCATAAGAATACTATTGACTTCATAGGGTTGTAGTGGGTAGAAAGAGATCTTGCATGCATGTGAAGGGACCAGCCTCTCCCCACGGTGGCTAGAACATAATGCCAACTAATATCTGTTAAAATCTTCCATTTTTATTTTTTTATTTTAGATTCAGGAGTACATGTGGTGTTCGTTACATGGGTATTATAGGTATAATGGTGGGGATTGGGCTTCTAGTGTACCCATCACTCAAATATTGGGCATTGTACCCAGTAGATAGTTTTACAACCCTCCCCCTCCTCCTGCTTTCCTCCCTTTAGAGTCCCTAGAGTCTGTTTTTCCCATGTTTATGTCCATGTTTATGGACATGTTTATGTCTATGTCCCCATCTTATGTACTCTTTGTTTAGCTCCCACTTATAAGTGAGAACATGGGATGTTTGATTTTTTGCTTCTGAGTTAGTTCACATAGGATAATGGCCTCCAGCTCCATCCATGTTGCTGCAGAGGACATGCTTTCACTCTGTTTTATGGCTGTGTAGTATGCCATATGTGTATCACATTTACTTTATCTAATCAACTGTTGGTGGACACTTAGATTGGTTACATGACTTTGCTATTGTAGCCAGTACTTAAAAGCTTCTTTTCATCATCTGCTCTATCCGGGACGCGTCAAGTGAATCTAGATCAACCACGTACTTAGAGTCACACTACTTTCGGAAGGTTCTCAGTTCCAACCAATGAAAATTAGTTCCTACCCTCCGCAAAATTATGGGAAGGGAATTGGAGACTCCAGATTCAGCAGATTCTAGAGGACCAGATTTCAGAACTAGAAAGAAATCAAAGGATTTTAATCAATCAAAGGAGATCATCAGATCTCCCTGATCTGATGATCAGGGAGACAAATAGCAAGAAGCAAACATTCATCTTTTGGAAGATGGCTAGGTCAGTCATCCATCAGTGCCCTCACCATGGACAGTGGGTGTGAATGAACCCCAGGCCTCACTCATCTGGCCAACTTTGTTGGCAGCTGGGGCAGGGAAGAGGGAGGGTTTCCCTGCTACTCAGGCTTTGATAGAGACGATAGGTTGCTCCTCACTCTGGGGTTTCCCTCCAACTAAAAAGAGATGTGGCTGGGCAGCCAAGAAGAGCTAACAAATGTCCCCCTATGCCTACCTCTTTATTATTATTATTATTATTATTATTATACTTTAAGTTTTAGGGTACATGTGCACAATGTGCAGTTTAGTTACATATGTATACATGTGCCATGCTGGTGTGCTGCACCCACTAACTCGTCATCTAGCATTAGGTATATCTCCCAATGCTATCCCTCCCCCCTCCACCCACCCCACAACAGTCCCCAGAGTGTGATGTTCCCCTTCCTGTGTCCATGTGTTCTCATTATTCAATTCCCACCTATGAGTGAGAATATGCGGTGTTTGGTTTTTTGTTCTTGTGATAGTTTACTGAGAATGATGATTTCCAACTTCATCCATGTCCCTACAAAGGACATGAACTCATCATTTTTTATGGCTGCATAGTATTCCATGGTGTATATGTGCCACATTTTCTTAATCCAGTCTATCATTTTTGGACATTTGGGTTGGTTCCAAGTCTTTGCTATTGTGAATAGTGCCGCAATAAACATAGGTGTGCATGTGTCTTTATAGCAGCATGATGTATAGTCCTTTGGGTATATACCCAGTAATGGGATGGCTGGGTCAAATGGTATTTCTAGTTCTAGATCCCTGAGGAATCCCCACACTGACTTCCACAATGGTTGAACTAGTTTACACTCCCACCAACAGTGTAAAAGTGTTCCTATTTCTCCACATCCTCTCCAGCACCTGTTGTTTCCTGACTTTTTAATGATTGCCATTCTAACTGGTGTGAGATGGTATTTCATTGTGGTTTTGATTTGCATTTCTCTGATGGCCAGTGATGGTGAGCATTTTTTCATGTGTTTTTTGGCTGCATAAATGTCTTCTTTTGAGAAGTGTCTGTTCATGTCCTTGGCCCACTTTTTGATGGGGTTGTTTGTTTTTTCCTTGTAAATTTGTTTGAGTCCATTGTAGATTCTGGATATTAGCCCTTTGTCAGATGAGTAGGTTGTGAAAATTTTCTCCCATTTTGTGAGTTGCCTGTTCACTCTGATGGTAGTTTCTTTTGTTGTAGAGAAGCTCTTTAGTTTAATTAGATCCCATTTGTCAATTTTGGCTTTTGTTGCCATTGCTTTTGGTGTTTTAGACATGAAGTTCTTGCCTGTGCCTATGTCCTGAATGGTAATGCCTAGGTTTTCTTCTAGGGTTTTTATGGTTTTAGGTCTAACATTTAAGTCTTTAATCCATCTTGAATTGATTTTTGTATAAGGTGTAAGGAAGGCATCCAGTTTCAGCTTTCCACATATGGCTAGCCAGTTTTCCCAGCACCATTTATTAAATAGGGAATCCTCTCCCCATTTCTTGTTTTTCTCAGGTTTGTCAAAGATCAGATAGTTGTAGATATGCGGCGTTATTTCTGAGGGCTCTGTTCTGTTCCATTGATCTATATCTCTGTTTTGGTACCAGTACCATGCTGTCTTGGTTACTGTAGCTTTGTAGTATAGTTTGAAGTCAGGTAGTGTGATGCCTCCAGCTTTGTTCTTTTGGCTTAGGATTGACTTGGCAATGCGGGCTCTTTTTGGTTCCATATGAACTTTAAAGTAGTTTTTTCCAATTCTGGGAAGAAAGGCATTGGTAGCTTGATGGGGATGGCATTGAATCTATAAATTACCTTGGGCAGTATGGCCATTTTCACAATATTGATGCTTCCTACCCAAGAGCATGGAATGTTCTTCCATTTGTTTGTATCCTCTTTTATTTCATTGAGCAGTGGTTTGTAGTTCTCCTTGAAGAAGTCCTTCATGTCCCTTGTAAGGTGGATTCCTAGGTATTTATTTTATTCTCTTTGAAGCAATTGTGAATGGGAGTTCACTCATGATTTGGCTCTCTGTTTGTCTGTTATTGGTGTATAAGAATGCTTGTGATTTTTGTACATTGATTTTGTATCCTGAGACTTTGCTGAAGTTGCTTATCAACTTAAGGAGATTTTGGGCTGAGACAATGGGGTTTTCTAGATATACAATCATGTCGTCTGCAAACAGGGACAATTTGACTTCCTCTTTTCCTAATTGAATATGCTTTATTTCCTTCTCCTGCCTAATTGCCCTGGCCAGAACTTCCAACACTATGCTGAATAGGAGTGGTGAGAGAGGGCATCCCTGTCTTGTGCCAGTTTTCAAAGGGAATGCTTCCAGTTTTTGCCCATTCAGTAGGATATTGGCTATGGGTTTGTCATAGATAGCTCTTATTATTTTGAGATACGTCCCATCAATACCTAATTTATTGAGAGTTTTTAGCATGAGGGGTTGTTGAATTTTGTCAAAGGCCTTTTCTGCATCTATTGAGATAATTATGTGGTTTTTGTCTTTGGTTCTGTTTATATGCTGGATTACATTTATTGATTTCTGCATGTTGAACTAGCCTTGCATCCCAGGGATGAAGCCCACTTGATCATGGTGGATAAGCTTTTTGATGTGCTGCTGGATTCGGTTTGCCAGTATTTTATTGAGGATTTTTGCATCGATGTTCATCAAGGATATTGGTCTAAAATTCTCTTTTTTTGTTGTGTCTCTGCCAGGCTTTGGTATCAGGATGATGCTGGCCTCATAAAATGAGTTAGGGAGGATTCCTTCTTTTTCTATTGATTGGAATAGTTTCAGAAGGAATGGTACCAGCTCCTCCTTGTACCTCTGGTAGAATTCAGCTGTGAATCCATCTGGTCCTGGACTCTTTTTGGTTGGTAAGCTATTGATTGTTGCCACAATTTCAGCTCCTGTTATTGATCTATTCAGAGATTCAACTTCTTCCTGGTTTAGTCTTGGGAGAGTGTAAGTGTCGAGGAATTTATCCATTTCTTCTAGATTTTCTAGTTTATTTGCGTAGAGGTGTTTGTAGTATTCTCTGATGGTAGTTTGTATTTCTGTGGGATTGGTGGTGCTATCCCCTTTATCATTTTTTATTGCGTCTTTTTGATTCTTCTCCCTTTTTTTCTTTATTAGTCTTGCTAGCGGTCTATCGATTTTGTTGATCCTTTCAAAAAACCAGCTCCTGGATTCATTAATTTTTTGAAGGGTTTTTTGTGTCTCTATTTCCTTCAGTTCTGCTCTGATTTTAGTTATTTCTTGCCTTCTACTAGCTTTTGAATGTGTTTGCTCTTGCTTTTCTAGCTCTTTTAATTGTGATGTTAGGGTGTCAATTTTGGATCTTTCCTGCTTTCTCTTGTGGGCATTTAGTGCTATAAATTTCCCTCTACACACTGCTTTGAATGTGTCCCAGAGATTCTGGTATGTTGTGTCTTTGTTCTCGTTGGTTTCAAAGAACATCTTTATTTCTGCCTTCATTTCGTTATGTACCCAGTAGTCATTCAGGAGCAGGTTGTTTAGTTTCCATGTAGTTGAGCGGTTTTGAGTGAGTTTCTTAATCCTGAGTTCTAGTTTGATTGCACTGTGGTCTGAGAGATAGTTTGTTATAATTTCTGTTCTTTTACATTTGCTGAGGAGAGCTTTACTTCCAACTATGTGGTCAATTTTGGAATAGGTATGGTGTGGTGCGGAAAAAAATGTATATTCTGTTGATTTGAATGTCCCACCTCCACACAAATCCATCTTTCCATATCTGTTCATCCAACACACACACACACACACACACACACACACACACACACACACACACACACATTTTTCTTACAACTAAAAATGGTCTCAGCCTCTCCCAAAAGAATAAAAACAAAAGCCTGACCAGCTACTGCATCCCTACTATGCCTCCAGTTCTTTCTAAAGCCCAAGGATTAATTGTAAAGTTCACTGTTACTATTAGCCACATATGTAATAGTGGGGAAAATGGAGAGTAAAGAAGAGGAAACTGCAGTAAAATATACAAATACTTGACACTATCAGGAAGTAAGTAGATAGAGGCTATGATCTTCACTTCTGCATAACTGGTGTTTGTGGCTTCTCTTTATTATTCCATTTCAATGTTTGGCTTTGTTTTTGCCTTCAGCCAGCCCTTCACTGGTCACCCTGGTGGGTTGCCCCAATATTTAGTTTTGAGGGATATGAGCTCTTGGTATGTATGGGGCTGCAGAAGTTTTCCACTGATTTTACTACTAGATATGGCAGAAGTAGGAGCCACTGAGCGAGGGGCGGTTCCTAATTCTTACTACTGCATGCTCCCATTGTTGGCAATCCTATCTTTCTCTGACAATCAGGATCATATACTATGGTCAGTTTGGTGACTGCCTCTTTTCTTGTCCTGTTTTCTCAGGGGCATAAGGAATCTGAAATGACCAGATGGTCCAGTTCAGCATGATGGTTGTTGTGGCCCCTCGTGGAAGCATTCCTCCCCAAAGCGTAGCTTCCCCGCAAGTCACTAAACTAACAGATCCCCAAATTGTAGGAATGGAAAGCAAAAGTTATAAGTGAGGCACAAGAAGTGCAAATCTTTCTTCTATCCCTTGGCTCTGGATGCTTTATTCTGGCTATGACAGCAACAGAACCAAAAATTATTCCCCTATTGAGAGTATTTATTACTTTCTGTAGGATAATACCCCATCTTGTGAGGTGTTACCCTGCTGGCATGGGTAATGATTCTTCAACCCACCAGGACACTATTCTGTGAGTACAGTAGCTTCTATTCATGGCCTTATTCTAAAACCAAATGAATCCCATGGGCATAAACCCATTGTCTGCCTTTCTTCCTCCCTCCCTCCCTGTCTTCCTTCCATCCTTTGCAAAGTGGACTTAAAACGGTACTGCTTGAAGTTTTGCTTCCTGTGCAAATATCCCTTCTCTATGGTTCCTGGGTGGAATTTCTGTCACAGTCCACCAGTCTGAGGTGTCTCCCATGTAACTGTAGGTATGTGTTACTGGAGGAGATGAATTATGGCAGGAGTGGGCATTGCGGGAGTGTGAGCAGCCTGCCTCTGCCACTTGCTTGTGCCTTATGAGCCTATAAGCTTGGTTCCACAGATGCTATTTTCATGTATGAGGGCCTGCTGCTGGGCTTGGCCAACTTTCTGGCCAGGTGGAAGACCTAACACTCAGTTCATGGTGTTCAGCTTGGGGTGAGGGCTTATCTTGTGTCCCACTTTCAGTTATTCAATTGCCAAAAGGGCCCAGTAGCAATCCAAAAGGTGCTTTATAAAAGGAGCATAATCATTTGCCAGATAGGTCCCAGATTCGCCCTTAGACTTCAAGGGCTTTTTATTGTGATTCTTGCTTGGAGGCTTGCTATAGGTGCTGGACAGCATTCTAAGAAATACTGTTGGATCTGCTGGGTCATCATATACAAGCTGCACCACTGACTGCATTATGGCCTGAGCTGGGCAGAGATCCCCTTCTAGTGAGTACTCCACTCCAAGCTGGTAGTTTACTCCCCAAATGGGTTAACATAGCATATCCAAGTGTAGTATATGTTGCCACCAAAATTCCAAGGCTCAGCAATTATTGTGCCTCTTTCTAAGTGGTAGGAAGCACAAGGTACCTCAAATTAACATTCATTTTTGAGAGACTATTGCAAAATGTCTTCGAATGCTGGCACTTATGGAATTCACAGAAATAAAGTCTCTACATTTTCATAGGATTTTTTTTGTAGGATTTATGGCTTGCATGTGTCCTACCGAAAGCATCTATGGTACTTGCTGTTTCCTATGTTTTGGTCCTAACAACATGATGCAATTGACATAGTGAACTGATGTTCTGCCACCTGGGTTGGGAATATATTCAAGGTCCCTGTGGCTTAAATTATGACACAGACCAGGAGTTTTTATACTTCTTTGAGGCAGAAAAGGTGTATCTGTTCTTCTAGTATATGCTGTTTCTCCTAGGTGAAAGCAAACTTCTTCCAGTGTTTTCTGATACTAGGTATAGAAAAATATTTGTCATTATATACCAAGTCAGACATTGATGATTTACTTCTTGTAAGGAGCAAATTTAGAATAGCAGTTTGTGTTGGAGATAGCCCCTAATTCTCTTTCTTCAAAATCAACATCATCCCTCAACTGTCAAACACTGGTGATGACATTAGTGCCTAGAATTCTCCCTCTTAATTCCCTGGTACCCAGTAAATAACATTCTTCCCAATTTGAGCTTAAAGCCCATTGAGAGATAGAAAGAGTAATCACATATTAAAACACTGCTTTTATTGTTGAAAAATCTGGTTGGAGAATGTGGCTTTAGATCTGAGGCCAAGTGGGTTTGCTTATATCTCATTCCTAAATTTTGACTTCCTCCTGGTCATTGGCATAGCAGAACCACCACAGGTCTTGTCCTGCAGCTAGAACCTGCCACAGTAAACTCATGGCATGGAGAAGTAAAATCTATGTGTCCCTTTAGGCAGGCTAGTTTGAAAAAAGAGAAGGAAATAGTAGTCTAATTTCTTCCCCTAAACTTGATAATTACATATGTGACTCTTCTTCCCATGAAGAAAAATCAGTGGTGACTGGGTGCAGTGGTTCATGCCTGTAATCCCAGCACTTTGGGAGGCCGAGGTGGGTGGATCACCTGAGGTCAGGAGTTCAAGACCAGCCTGGCCAACATGGTGAAACCTTGTCTCTACTAAAACAAAATACAAAAATTAGCCGGGCATGGTGGCACACACCTGTAATCCCAGCTACTCGGGAGGCTGAGGCAGGAGAATCGCTTGAACCCGGGAGGCGGAGGTTGAAGTGAGCCGAGATCGCGCCACTGCATTCCAGTCTGGGCAACAGAGTGAGTCTCTGTCTCAACAACAAGAACAACAAAAATCAGTGGGGAATGGGAAAGAGGACAGCAGTATTGTGTTATGCTTCTAGTCTGGGGAGATGGAAGTTGGCCTCACATCACTCCCTACTCACTGTGACTCACATCACTCCCTACTCACTGTGACTATAACTGGATCCAGTTGTGCCCACTGTGAATAAATCTAACTACTCCTTCAACTTTGCATCCCTTGCTCTCATGCCTGACAGGTGGGCCTAGGTCATGTGTTTGTGCTGTGGCTTCCAAGGCATGCACTTATAGAACATCTTTCATCTTCAATTGTGATAGTAATAAGGAGGGCACTGTGTCTACTAACAGTATATATAATATATATATAAAGAAAGACTCCTCTGTAATAGGAATAGGGATTGAATACCACGCAGCCAAAAAACTAAGCCATGGCCACTATACTCCCCAGAAGTGTGCATGTCTATACACTCCAGGACGGGGTGCTTCATCTGTGTGATCATCAAGGCAACTTCTGGTTGGCAGGTTCTGACCCACTTTCCTCACTCTTCCTATTTCCTTAGCACCTGGTGTACTAATTGCCAGCCCCATTGCCTGGAGATATGCTCTAGACTGGGTTTCAGAACTCTCCTTCAGGGCACACATTTTGACTTTGTCTCCTCGTAACTGGAGAAAAATTATTCTCCTTGGTCAACCTCAGCCTAAGGCTTTATAAGTCTCATGGAGACTTGCTTCAGTTTTGTTCAGAAAACCAGCATTTACTGAGCCTTTGCTCTGTGTTCTCATGATCACGGGTGCTGAAGACACAGAGTGGGTCAAAAGTAGTAAGTACTCTTTAAATTCTTTCCATCTTGAGGGGTGAGGGCTCCCAATCTGTTGTTATTGTCTATTTTTCTGTCTAGATGTTGTAATAGACTGTGGGTGAAGGAAGACTTCATATGAGGAAACAGTTCATAATTTGGGATAGGGTGCTTGTGTTAGTTTCCTAGGACTGCCCCAACAAAATATCACAAACTGGTTGGCTTAAAACACCAGAAATTTATTTTCTCATAAATTTTTTTTTTTTTTTTGAGACAGTACCTTGACCTGTCACCCAGGCTGAAGTGTAGTGGCATGATCACAGCTCACTGCAGCCTTGACCTCCTGGGCTCAAGTCATTGCTCCACCTCAACCTCTCAAATAGCTGGGACTATAGGTGCATACCACCACACCTGGCTAATGTTTCAATATATTTATTTTGTAGAGATGAGGACTCACCATGTTGCCCAGGCTGGCCTCGAACTCCTGGGCTCAAGCTGTCCTCCTGCTTTGGCTTCCCAAAGGGCCGGGATTACAGGTATGAGCCACCATGCTTGGCTCTCATAAGTTTGAAGACTAGAAGTCAAAAATCCAGCTTTTGGCAGGGCTCATTCTCTCTGGGGGTGCTGAAGATGAATCTGCTCCAGGCCTCTTTCCCGATGGTTGCCAGTAATCCCTGATGTCCCTTGGTTTGTAGCTGCATGACTCCAACCTCTGCCTCTGTCTTCACATGGCTTTCTCCTCTGTGTCTGTGTCTCTTATCCTCTTCTTATAAGGTTGCCAATTATATTATGGCCTATCCTAAACAGTATGACCTCATCTTAACTGTTATATCTGCAAACTGTTTGCAAATAAGATCACACTCACAGGTACCGGAGGTTAGAACCTCACATATCTTTTCTTGTGGGAGACAATTCAACCTGTAATAGCACTAAATTCTTAAGAGATGTCTTTCAACTTCATTTTCTTAAACCAAATGCATTTTTTTTTGTCTTTGAAGTGAAGAATACATTTTAGAAGCAGCTCCTCTTCTAAAGTTTTCTATCCTAGTTATTATCACTCTATAAAATTGTTTAAATGGAAGGTTCTACAGGCTGTATGTCTGGTAGAAAAATGTCCTCCAGTTAAAGGTGTGACCTGCTTCAAAGAAATTGAAGAAACTACTGGAATTCCAGCCCAGGAGGAAATAAAAAATTCCTTAATTGAAATACTAAGAGTCTCGGTAGGGTAGGGATCAGCAAATGGTAAGGCTTGTTTTTTGAAGTAACAAAAACAACAAAAAAATCCAAACAAATAAAACGCTGTTTACATTCAGGATATGGCCAACTTTCCATATAAAGAAAGAATTCTTCTAATATATTTGCTTCAATTCACATTTATGTTTTCGAGGATCTTATTATTTAGCAGTATAATAACATCTCACATTCGTACAATGAATGGCAGTTTACTAAGGGGTCATATAATTAATTTGTGCCTTAAAATCATCATGAGAGAGGAAGACCAAAGAGATTCCCATTTTACATATAAGGAAACTGAGGCAGACTAGAGCGCTGAACGAACTTGCCTAAGATCAGAAAGCTGGTTAGCAATGGAGTTGAAAGCACTGGCTCTCTGGCAAAAAGTCATAGATAATTCTGCAGGGCATGCTGGTAGAGGGTGTGGGCTTTTATTTTATTTTTTAATCCTTCATCCATCTTGAATAAGATAGAACAATTTCTAAATAAATAAATCTGAGCCAGGACTTTACTAAGTGTTGGGGATACATAGTTACTGCCCCCAAATCCGCAAATAATTTCACAGGAGTTGATACTCCCACAAGTCTAAGTGTTGAGTAGAGAGATGCTGGGGTGCCAAGGATTCCACAGAGGGGCTGATTTCAACTGCTGAGGGAGAGGGGATGGGTCAACACAGGCTTCACGAGTTCGGGGACCCAAGCTGAGTCTTGCAGGACAAGGAGAGTTAAACCAGGTGAGATGGGAGGTGGAGGTGGGGCTGATGTTTGCATGCAGGGGAAAGTGCATGGGCAAAGGTATGGCAGAATAGCCAGTGATGAGGCAGGACTGATAAGCAGCATGAAAACCTGTGTCTTGGACTTCACTTAGAGGGCCATGGAAGGTATTATAGAAAGTGAGACAGAAGGTTATTTTAAACCATTGACCCAACTAAGGATGATTTGCCTCTTTCTCTCCCCCACCTCTGCTGGGACATTTGGCAACATCTGGAGACATTTTTGGTTGTCACAATGGTGAGGGGGAAGTTGCTACTGGTATCTTGTGGGTAGAGGCCAAGAGCATTGCTATACATTCTCCATTGCACAGGACAGCCTCCTACAACAAAGGAATGATCTGGCCGAAAGTATCAACAGTGCCAAGGTTGAGAAGCCCTGTTTTAAACAAGGGAATGATATGTCTGATTTGTTTTTCTCTTTTGGAGACAAATTATAAATTTTTCTAGGAGCTAGGGAATTGCTAAGTGACTCAGCAGCTTTGTTTATTTTGAACGTTCTTCCTTCTATAATAGACTGAATATATGGTATTTTCATTTTCTGTTTTGTTTTTATTCTTCTGTATTCTCTATAGAGGGTACTTGATGTGATCCTAGTCTAGGTGAATGGCATCCCCTAGAGTTGTGCAGTGCACAAACTGCACAAAGTCCACATGGCAGGCTTGATGGGAACTGTGATCCTTGAGAAGTCATTCAATGAATACCTGGCTGAGTGGAGTGACCTTAATAGAGTAGCCTTTAAAATTAATCACCCAAGTAGTACTTCTTTTTAGTGTCCAGCACAGCCTGGCAGAGGAGTTCAGAATTTGAGGAATGATTGAACAAATGAAGGGATGATTGAGCAGCCCAAAGAATGGGAAAACTAATTGGATACCAGGTGATGCCGAAGGAGAAACTTGCCATTAAAAATCCCAGCAAGGTATCCTACCAAATTTCTGGAGTGCATTGGAGTGGAAACAAACAGCCCTGTGCCAGGGTCCTCTTGGCTGACACTTCAGAATCCTGCCTCGTGAGGGGCCCCTGGAGTAGAGGCTGGGTTTAGACTCTGGAAAATTACTAGGTTTTCTGGTCTCCTGGGTCCTCTGCTGCCTTATCAGTGAAGCTTTGTCAGTATTTCCATCATAAACCCTGGGTGTGGGGCGAAGTGGCCTATAAAATCTGAATCTGGGCCAAAGCTGGCAGGCACAGAGCCTGTTAAGATGCAATTAGTTTGTCTCAGGGAGTCTTCGGTTGGCTTCTTTGCTTAATTGGGAGAGCACAACCAAGAAATACAGAGGTTTGGTGTGCCTTCTGTCTCTAAGGACAGACACAGAAAGGTTTCTGTTGCAGGGAAGAAAATCGGGCCAGTCTCTAACACAGAGCTCTGGGAAGTAGAGGTTTGAAGAGGGTTGCCCACCAGAAGCTAGGAAATACATCTGGACAGGTGCCAAAGGCAGCTCTGTGCCCCAGGTCAGCCCATGCTCCTCTAGATCTTTCCCTATGGTTAACTTACATGATCCTTAAGGTCTACTTTTATACCTAGGTGAGGATGTTCTGGGATGGTCACAGCAAAATAAAATGATTGTTTAAAGCCATGCTTCACATTTAAGCCTCCCTCACTCCATGGTGACATTCATTCATCATTTCATTTATCACCTATTATTACTTCTTTGTTCAGGCTGAACAACAGTAGGGAATTATAAAGGAATCAGACCTGGCCCTAAATACAGGCATTGTCCCTTGCTTGAGTTACACAGTAGTAAAACCACCAACCTCTTGGAGCCTTAGTTTCCTTACTTTTAAAGTTGAGAAGAAAATACCTAATTTATGGCATAGTGATGAAATTTAAATGATACATAATTTGTAAAAAGACCATAACACTATGTCTGGCCCCCCCCAAAAAGTGTTCCTTAAATAGTACTTTATGCCACTAGTAATAGTACTACTACAATAATAACAAGGTAATAAATGCTGTCCTTGGAGTATATACAATGCTGTAAAAACTCAAAGGTATGAGTGTCTGAGGGTGGGTGGAGGTGAGAGAGGAGTCAAGGAAGACTTCATGGAGGAGGTGACATGACCTGAGACCTGAAAAATGGATTATGAGTTTTCCAGGCAGAGAAGAGAACAAAAACCTTTCCTGTTAGCAAGAACAGCCTATGCACAACTATTGAGTGTGCATGGTCAGTGTGGGGGCAAGGGGATGCCTGTTTGCTATCTGCTCACAGGGTACAGGGTGGGAGGAGGTATGGAGTGGGGATGATCTTCTGGCCTCACTGTGAACCTGCACTGATTGAACCAATCCATTCTTCCTCTCCTCCTCCCTCTTCCCTTTCTCATGTCTGCTTTTAGAACATTTTCTTACATGCAGATTCGTTAATGCATAGGTAAGTTTCATGAGGGAAGGAACTTGCCCTGGGTCACATGGTGAGTCCCAGCACCAGGATCTGAGCTCAGCACTCTCCCGTGGAGGCTGTGGCTTTTTCTTAGCTCCTCTTTCTCCATCAGAGCTGACTGTCCACCTGTCAGATCTGCTCATCTTTCCACCCCAATCCTCTGCCTCACTCCCTACCCTGCCTGGCCAGAGGGTTCACTCCTGTAAAGCTCTATTAAAAATCTTTTATGCCACCTTAGTGCAGCCTCCCATCTACCCTATACCATATGCGGGCTTGTTAATTCCTTAGAGGTATACTTATGGCACAACTTTGAGACAAAGGCACAGGTACCCAGGGAACAGCTGCTTTCACTCTGGAAAAATGCCGATAGGTGTCTACTTTCCAGAGAAGGGGCAGGATCAGCAGAGAGTTGGAAGCATGCAAGGGAACAAACATCTTGAACACCTACTATTGCTGAAGACTGTGCTGGGGACTCTTACAGCTGAAACTTGGGTTCAAATCCTGACCATGTTACTAAATATCCCAGGCAAATTACTCACATTTCCCAAATCTCTTTTTCTTCATGTGTAAAATGGATAGTAATGCCGACCTATTCCAGAAAAGGAAGATCAAATCCCCTAGCTGCCTTTGAGAGTCTAAGATTTGAATATTCCCTCTTATCTGCTTAGATTTGGAAGAGACTCTTAGGTTGAACACATGATTCCTTTGTTCATCAGTTGAATTATCTCACTGAAGCTGTGGGGAGTGGGAGAAGAACACTGGCCCTGGAGTCAGGGCTAGAAGCCTGATGCTCTGTCTGCCAACTTGGGAAGGTCTTTATCAGAAGAGAAAATGGATTCCAAGGGGAGCAGCCCCTGCTTGCTCCTTAATGTGCCTGGGAAAGGGGATGCTCAGGCGCAGTGAAGAGACCCACTCAGGTTAAATAAACAGCCTGGAAAAGCTGGAGAGACAGGAAAAATACCCCAGAAGCCTCCTCCTTCCTCAGAGCCGGGTTTGTGTCATCTGTTCCTGGGAGGGGCACACCTTCAGGGAAGGAGCCCTGGACTTGGAGTTAGCAGATTCTACCACCTACCAGCTGGGTGTCCATAAGCAAGTCACTTAACCCCTAAGTTTTCCTCATATGCCATACAACATTCATGTTAATTTCTGGAGGGAAGAATGCTCCGGAACACAGTGAACAGTGTGTAAATCCTACCCCCAAATACCCTTTTCCCCAAGGATTGCCACCCAGCCCCAGGGCACAGCTCAATAAAGTTTCCATAAAACTCAGCTTCTCTGAGTCCAGCTTCAGAAATTACAGAGAGTTGATTCATCACATTGTTTGAATTATGTCAATATGAAAATACAGAAAACCCACAGGGAGTCAGCCTTTTCCCATATATAAAACAGGGTTACAATCCTGTATAAACTTTTAAAAGATAATAGTTTGTATCATATGCATATGATTGAAAAAATAAAAGGAAAGAACAAGAAAAGAAAAAAGTACACATTGGCAAACAATGTAATTCAGGCCGACACCCTGGCTTGGGACTCCCCCTTGCCCTTCTCCTGCTCTTCATTCCTCATCTCCGTAACATCCCCCATCAGTGCCCTGGCAGCAGTAGGCTGGGGCTTTTCTGTGGCTTCAGAGTCCTGCTGCCTCCTCAGGATCCCTGAATTCATCCACTCTTCCCCATCTCCACCGTCACAGCCCACACCTGGGCACCAACATCCCTGACTTGGACCATGGACCACCTTGCAATGAATTGCATTATGTCCACTGAGGCTGCAGTGAGGAGGATAAATGCGGGTAAGAAGCAAGTTGGGGCACATTAATCTGTGCATGTCTGTCCCCAGAGAAGACCTTGAAGAGGCCCTTTGGAGGTGTCAGGATGGAGGTGGAGCCCTTGGACAGCTCTGCCCAGCTCCCCACCCTCATGATCCACCCCTCCTGCTGCTTCTCCTTTACTCTCTCCTATGCCCTGAATTGCTCCTCTCTGCTCTCTCTGCCTGCAAAGTTCTACCCTCTAAACTCCCCTGACCCTATTTTACTCCCGCTGTGCTGTGACTACCCTACTTCTCTTCCCCACCTCAACCCAGGTCAACTCCTTTTGCACTATGTTACCTCTCTCCCTTACACAACAAAGAAGTGATTGTAAATCTGATGAACCTGTTTTCACCTCCAAGCTGTGAGTTCCACAAGTGCAATGACTAAACTTGTTTTGTTTCATCCTCATATCTTCAATCTTAATAAAGAGACTTTGTTTTTTTGAATACAGAGTCCTCCTCTGTTGCCCAGGCTGGAGTGGCATAATCTCGGCTCACTGCAGCCTCCACCACCTGGGTTCAAGCAATGCTCGTGCCTCAGTCTCCCAAGTAGCTGGGATTGCAGGTGCACCACCATACCTGGCTAATTTTTGTATTTTTAGTAGAGATGGGGTTTTGCCATGTTGCCCAGCCTGGTCTGGAACTCCTGGGCCCAAGTGATCTGCCCGCTTTGGCCTCCCAAAGTGCTGGGATTACAGGTGTGAGCCACCACGCCTGGCCTTAAAGTGACTTTTTACATGGTTGACACTGAAACAATATTTGCTGAGTTGTGATGATAAACATCTAGCCCATTCTCGGTTCTGTCACTATTGATGCCCAAAGTTACTTCAAGACAACCCTACAACCATTCTCACCTGTAAAATGGGTACAATAATAACTACTTTGTGGTGGCATTATGAGAATCAGAGAAAAATTTGTAAAGTGCGCTTCACATACTTATTGATTTCATTTATGGAATGCCTACTCTTATTTTGAGGGTTTGAGGACAGAAAAATAATAATTTTTTTTCTAACACTGTGACCACCAGTCATGATGAATTTTTCAACATGGGCTAATGCCCACCAGAGATGCACAATAGCAAGTTCTTGGATCAGAGTTCTGTTTACACTTGGATGGTGAAGGAATATCAGTTGTTAGTTTTCAAATGAGACCTCCTCTTGGATGGCAGCACATGAAAGAATTGCCTGGGCACGGGTCCAAGGTTCTGTATGCAACATGTGTGGATGTTCAAATACAATTTCATTTATGCATGACCCCACCTGTCAAGATCCCACATCCAAATTAAAAATACAAAAGATTAGCTTTTATGGCAAAGAGAATGATAATAATTTGACAATATTAGTATTTGAAGTGATAATTTATGATAAAGAGAATAATTATGTACCATATTAATTACAGTCATGTAATTAATTGCATTAATTACAGTCATGTAATTAATTGCATTAATTACAGTCATGTAATTAATTGCATTAATTACAGTCATGTAATTAATTGCATTAATTACAGTCATGTAATTAATTGCATTAATTACAGTCATGTAATTAATTGCATTAATTACAGATGCTTAATTACATGTCCATGGGTTTCTTGTCTGAGGAGTCAACCAACAACAAATAAAAAATATTTGGAAAAAAACAAAAAAACAATATAACAAGAAAATACAAATAAACAACTAATAGTGAATAACAACCATTTACATAACATTTACACTTAACTAGGTATTATAAGTAATCTAGAGATGATTTAAAGTATACAGGAGGATGTGCATAGATTCTATGCAAACACTATGCCATTTGATATAAGGGGTTTGAACATCTGTGGATTTTGGTATCTGTGGGTGGTTCCTGGAACCAATCCTCCCTGGATACTGAATGATGGACTGTATTCCTTCCCCTTCTGTCCTTACATGGTCAACATTTTGTAGGGAACAGCAAAGGTGGTTTAAGATAAGACTCTCCTGGACAAGCACTGGAGAATTCTCTGGTTGCCAATCTTCTTACGAAAGCCTCCTAGAATTTTGGATTTAGGTGAAGCATTTCAGATGGTATCTTAAGGAATTCTTGGCAAAGTGTGTTGGCAGGTGACCTACAGGCTTGAAGATTAAAAACAGACTAAAAGATTATTAAGAGACTCCCTCCCAATGGCACACAATGTTGTAGTTTAAACTGTGCCCACGTACATTATCTTGTGTAATTTTGATGCAAAACTCTTATACGGTACAAGCTGGGATTATCCAACCCATTTTACAGGTGAGGAAAGGGGCTCATAAATTTGCCCAAGGTTGATCAGCTAGTGAATGGCGCTTCCAGGACTTAGCCTTGGTTTTCTCTCTCAAAGCCTTCTTTTTATTGTCTTACATTTACTTTCCTCAGGCAGGGCTGTGTTCCGAGTCCTTACTCTTAGCCCTGCCTTGTCTCTCAGTCTGGAGGTCTGAGGAGGGAGGGCTGCTTTGTACCTTCCCCACCCTTCTGTCCCTGTGAGTCCTGGTCTCCTGAAGTCTGCCCTGCCCACTTACCCAAGGAGAGCTCATCAGTCTTCTTCCATACTTGTTCTCATAGCACTTGTTCATCAAGCATGCTTTTGTGTAACAAATAGGTGCAGGGCAGTGTGGTTTGAGCCACAGAAAAATAACTTATCTATTTGTAAGTTTCTGCTTAATAACATGGTGTCAAAGGAGGGTGCTAGGTGGGGATGTGTCCACAATAATTAAAATCATTCTATGGACTTTATTTCTCATAACTGTGCACAGTAAGTATTCTTTTCCCTGTTTTATGGATAATGCAGTGCATTACAGGAAAAAGCAGATCCTGTCTGCATAGGGAAAGAGACTAGAGCATTTATTAAGTGCCTAGTATGTGCTAGTATTTTGCATATTTACAACTTATTAAATCCTCAAAACATCCTACGGAAGAAGATAGAAGTGATCCCATTCTACAGGTGAGGAAATGGAAGTTTAGCAAAGTGAAATAGCACGTTCATTTACCAAATAAGTGATAAAGCCCAAAGCCCATGATCTGGCCTAGGCTGAAATTTCAGGAAACTGCCCCCAAACAGAAATTTCTGCCCACAGGGCCTGTCTGATGAGAGGAGGTCAATCCAGACTAGAACAGCCCAGCAATCAGAGTACAGCCGGCAACTTTTAGACAAGGAAGAAGCCAGGGAATTAAGAGGTGTCAAACAAATAGGAAACAATTGGGATGTAATTATAAGGAAAATGCAGGCAAAATTCCAGGAAGCCAAACTCTTATAGAGTTGTTTACAAGGGAAGTAGTGGGAAAGCCATGCTCTGGCCTGAAAACCACATGTTCTGGAGAAAAATATCACATAGAATCACAGAAACCCTTTCAGGAAAAGGGCTTTCATTTATTTAGTTGATCAGTTCAGGCTTATTGAGCCTCTACCATGAACCTGTCCTCTCCTTGGCACTGCAGATTCAAAGTTGAAGAAGACTCAGTTTCTGCCCTCAAGTCACACATGGTTGAAAGGTCATGGAGAAAGAGGACACGTGTTACCATGGAGCACTGTGTGCCTACCAGAAAGTGCAAAATCTGAGGAATCACAGAGGATGGAACAACTCTGGGAAACCTGGAAAATCAGAGAAGACTACACAGAGTGGGTGACCCTTATAGGAGGAGAAGGCGTTCTCCAAATTAAGATGTGGGCAGAGCACATTCGAGGCAGAAGGATGAACACAGGCAAAGACAAAAAAGCAGGACTGTGGATGGCAAATTCAGGGACAGTGGGCAGCCATGGATTAGGTGCATGAAAAAATATATAATGTGGCTTTTCTGACTCTAATGCCAGTGTCACCCAGTCCTATGCTTGGAACACAGAGCACAGATGGCACAAACAGAGGCTGCTAAAAGAATGGCAAAGTATACAATGGAGAATCAAGCCCTTTGCTGCCGATTGATTTCCATTGAGCATTTCATTTCATCCGATGTTTCAATCAGTGCCACTGCAAGGAAACCCTTCAGTTAGGATGCAGTGAGGCAGGTAAGAACAGTGGCCTCTGGAGTCAGCATACCTGTGTCAGAACTTGGCTCTGTGGTTTACCAGTTGTATCATCTAGACTCTCTGTGCTTCACTTTCTTCATCTGTCAAATGGAGATAACGATGTACATACCAATCTCCTGGGACTGTTGTGGAGATTAAACTCGTGTTTATATTAAGCTATGTAATCTCCCTATCCAGGTCTTTTTGAATTTAATGGAATAAAAGAAGGACTGATTCTGCATATTTGTTTACAGTTCATGCCCAACCTTCTGAGGCACGGAGGATAAGTACTTGAATGATACATCGGAGATCTTCTAGTCTAACTTTCTGGGTTTGGAAATTTGGCCAGATTACTGTGTGATCTTGGACAAGTCTCTGAACGGCAATACCTGTCCTTCATGCCCTAGAGACCATGTGTGACCTAAAGCATCTGGTAGCAGTAGTGACTAATGGCCCCACAAAGTTTGGAGAATGAAACAGGCCCTGTTGTGTTCTACAAATATTAACTTGTTAACCTCTCCCAACAATCTCATGAGGCAGATACTATTATCACTTACATTTTACCAATAAAGAAACTGAGACAAAGAGAAGTTAAATGATTCTCCCCAACATCACACAGTTAGTACATGGTAGAGGCAAGATCTGAACCCTGGCAGTCTGATTCCAGAGCTGTGGGCTCCTCCACTCTGCTGATAACCATTGGAAGAATAACTATTACTTTTGTTACTTTCCCAGGGTCCTTAGGAAGGTTGGATAAGATCTTAGATATAAACAGCTCCTTCGTCACTTATGTAATTAAAACCTATAAAGTACTGCGAGCATGTCAAATTGTTATAGAGCATAAAGATGCGTAAAATGTATAAAATACATAATAAACAACCTGGAAAACAGTATAAAATATTCTCTCACTACCTCTGTCTGTTTGTCATTTTAAACTCTTGGCTTGAGCTGATCCTTGTGTTCCTGAGTTCCTAAGAACTGGCCATATAGCAGGGGTTTCTGGTTAATGTTAAACATCAAGAAACAATTACTGCCCTGGCTACTGTGAGGTGGATTGAGGCAGCTGGGCTCATTTCCCCTTCTCCTGGCCAGCCTCACTCTTGGCCATCCTCTAGAAGGAGGGCAGCTCATCTCAAGGCCAGAAGCTGGTCTCAGCAGGTCCTGAGAATCTCCAAAATTCATTTTGTCTCTATTTTCCCTGAAATCATCCTCTCTGGAACTTGTTTTCTTCTTTAGGGCATCTCAGCCTAATCTTGGAAAAAGCCCTTTCACAAGCAGCCCTGCAAGAACTACAGAGAAATATTGTGGCCCCAGAGTCAGGAAATCAGGGTACCTTAACCTGGGAGAATCTCAGCTCCTCTATGGGCCTCAGTTTTCCCTTTTGTAAAATTACAAGGTTGGATAGAGAATCTGGAAGGTCCCTTCTGGCTTGAAAACATACAATGCACCATCCATCTACTAGCAGTCATACTCTAAGTATACTACATTGGTGTCAAACACATTATATCTAGAACACAGAAGCTTGTCGAGGTAGAGCATTTTACCTGTCAATCTCCCCCTCCCCAATTCCCACTATGTTTCATAGGCATTTCTGGTGATACTTTTAGTGGTTTTAAAATAGGTTCACAAAATTTTGACACCCTCCCTCTAATATGTGAAGCTTAATTCCCCTTCCAAAGTTAGGTCATAAAAGGCATCACAGCTTCCACCTTGCCATTGCTCTGAAGGAAGCCAGCTACCATGTTGTGAGGATACTCAAGCAGCCCTATGAAGAGGTCTAAATGTGAAGGCACTGAGGCCCCTTGTCAATAGGTATATAAGTGAGCTACTATGGAAGCAGATTCTCCAGCCCCAATCACATCTTCAGATGACTGCAGCCCTAGCTGACATCTTGACTGCAACCTCATGAGAGACCCTGAGCCATGGCCACCCAGCTGAGCTGCTCCTAGATTTCTGGCTTTTAGAAATCATGTGAGATGATAAATATTTATTGTTTAAAGCTGTTAAATTTGGGGGTAATTTGTTACACAGCAATAGATAACTTACGTACTAGCAGTGGTTGCTGTTGTTAGTGATGGTCGTAGTGGAGTAAGCATAACCTATAACCCTGACTCTGTATCACTGTAATTTTCCTGTGTGGGGATTGATGGAATGATTGATGTATGTCCTTGGTCCAGAAAGGATTTCAAAAGGCCTAATCTGAAATTCCTTAGCTTCTACACCCAGGCTGAGCATACATCCAGATTTAAAGAATAATTCTGCCTCTGGACCAGTAAATATGAGTGGCATTATCTAGGCCAGCAGACTCATGACTTAGCATCATATAAATCTTGACCGGCTGGGTGCAGTGGTTCATGCCTGTAATCCCAGCACTTTGGGAGGCCGAGGTGGGTGGATCACTTGAGGTCAGGAGTTCGAGACCAGCCTGACCAACATGGTGAAACCCCTTCGCTACTAAAAAATACAAAAATTGGCCAGGCATGACGGCAGGCGCCTGTAATCCCAGCTACTCAGGAGGCTGAGGCAGGAGAATTGCTTGAACCCTGGAGGTGGAGGTTGCAGTGAACCAAGATGACACCGCTGCACTCCAGCCTGGGTGACAGAGCGAGACTCCGTCTAAAAAAAAAAAATCTTGATCACAGTTTCCTCTCTGAGTTTATCCCTATTCTGGTAATTCCTTTCCCCAACCTTGTCTTCTCCTTTATAACAATCACATTGGTCCTTGTGACCCTGAGAGAGCTCTGTGCTCAATTAGATAAGTCCGCCATGAGTGTGAGAGGGAGAGTGGTAGCACACACACCAGGCAGCATCCTCTGTTTTATTTTTATTTTCCTTTAAGTTCTGGGATACATATGCAGAAAGTGCAGGTTTATTACACAGGTATACATGTGCCATGGTGGTTTGCTGCACCTATCAACCCATCATCTAGGTTTTAAGCCCCAAATGCATTAGGTACTTGTCCTAATGCTCTCCCTCCCCTTGCCCCCCACCCCCTGACAGGCCCTGGTGTGTGATGTTCCCCTCCCTGTGTCCATGTGTTTTCATTGTTCAACTCCCACTTACGAGTGAGAACATGCGGTGTTTGGTTTCCCGTTTCTGTGTTAGTTTGCTGAGAATGATCATCCTCTGTTTTTAATAGGAAGCTTGTAGTTTATCTCTTAATCCTTCCCCTGTGCCACCTACTATTAGACCTCCTGTGGGATAATGTGAAGGATATGGTTTGCCATTGTAACTGTTGTGCATGTTCTCTAATGATTAAAAACGTCCCTGGTATTTGGAAACATAATTTATGAGCACAGTCAGCTCCAGGGTCTCACTGAGTCTCAGGGACTGCTGAGTGAGCTGTGTGGGGCTTAGTGTCAGCTCCTGTTGTATGGGAAGGAAAACTGAAGCTCAGAAAAGGCACACATTGCAAGGCCTGTCTCTGTCATTCTGTTTTATGGCTGCATGTCTGTCTTCAATACTATTCTATAGAGATTCAGGCTCATGAATATTTTAAGAGTTTGGGTTCAGCTAAAAACTAAAAACTTCTCCCTTTTCAACCACACTTCATGAGGTGGCTAAGTACATTTATAAGGAGTCTGGAGGACTTTGCCAATACAAGATGGGAGGAAGAGAAAGCGAGCGTGCGGTACTTGCAGGGTGTGTGATCGATAGGAGGTTTCCCCAGGGTTGTACCTCTCTGTCTTCCACTTTGATGTCATCATCATCATCAGAATAAAAACAAGGGCTCTCTGGCATCTCCCAAGAATAGTAGTTTTTCACATCTGGGTTGTCTTGTCACTTACAGAAGGCTTTCCTTCTCCCAACCCCCTTCATTTTTCACAGTATGCCCCTCTGAGACGTTTTGGTATTACTCCCTTTTATTGATGAAGAAAATGAGGCTCTATTATTAAAACTGACTCAACACCAACAGCAGGATTATCTATGTCATATTAACATTTCCCATTTCTTTCCTTAGGGTGTGAGGATGAATGTGTGGGAATGTGTGTGCCAGGTGTATACTTGTATGCATGAATCTTACAAGTACAGATGACTTAAGGTTCTTTAATGTCTATGCCCTATCCACCTTTCCTTCATTAGCTCTTATTATTTTTGTAGACTTAGGAAAAGAGGATTTTTGAAAGAAAATACTACACATTCGTTATAGATAATTTAGAAAGTATAATACATTAGTCTACTTAAGTTGTTATAACACACACCATAGACTGGGTGGCTTAAATAACGGAAGTTCTTTTTCGTGTAGGTTTGGAGACTGGAAGTCCAAGGTCAAGGTGCCGTTAGGGTTAGCTTCTTCTGAGGTTTCTCTTCTCAGCTTGCCAATGGCTGCCTCCTTGCTGTGCCTTCACATAATCTTTCCTCTGTGTGTGCACATTCCTGGTGTCTCTGTGTGTCCAAATTCCCTCTATTGTAAGGGCAATAGTCAGATTGCTTTAGGGCCTACCCTATTAGCCTCATTTTAACTTAGTCACCTCTTTTAAAAAGCTCTGTCTCCAAATACAGTCACATTCTGAAGTATTGGGTTTAGGCCTTAAACATGTGAATTTTGGTGCAGAGGGAATATAATTCAGCCCATAAATACAGAAAATGAGGAAAGTGTAGAGAATCATAAAGAAGATAAAAATCATCCGTAATCTCACTGCTAGGGACAATTTCTTTGCATATTTTGGAATGTTTCCTTCCAGTGCTTTAGAGTTCCCTGTGACTAATCTTGTGATTCAGGTGGGATAAAAACAATAACAAATAACAAACAACAACTGTTGCATTTATTAATCCTACCACATTCCAGGTATAATTTTAAGTGCTATAGATGTGTTAACTAATTTAATCCAGACATAACCTCCTGAGATAGGTACTGTTATTATCCACATTTTGCAGATGAGGAAAGTGAGAAGTAGGGGAGGTAAGTAATTTTCCCAAAGACACACAGCAAGTAAGTGATGAAGCCAGGGCTTGAACTCAGAGAGTGTAGGTCCAGAGTCCATGTTCCTAAGGTGCTCATTACAGGAAGGAGTATGGCTTCGGAAAAAGAAAGGGAGTGAAGTAGGATAAGAAGTTGGAAGCTGTTTGGCCACAGCACTCTGTCTTTCTGAGCAAGGCAGGAGTGAAAGCAACATAGGCTTTGGGGGCCAGTGAATCCAGCTTCGGGTCACAGCTCTATCATTCTCTAAATTGTAAATCAGAACAAGCTCTGCAGCTTTTCAATATCTTCATTTACAGATGTTGAAGTTGAAACTTTAAATTGCCTTTCAATGGTGCTGTGAGGAGGATAAATAATATACTTAGAATACCTAGCACATTACCTATGCGTAATTATTACTCAAGAAATAGAGGTTATTGGGGTTATTTATAAAGATCTTGCAAGTTCAAGGGATGACAAATTTCCAGAGGCAGCCCTGCTGGTGAGTGGCAGAGCCATTGCTAAGCAGGCGTTTGAAGAAATGAATGGGAGAGTGAGGGAAGGGATTCAAGGGCATCTGGCAACTGGGTGGTGCCTGTCCCAAAGCCTCCCTAGCCAGCTGCAAAATCTTTCAGGGAAGGGACATTTCTCTCACACTCATTCATTCGACAACTATTTCTTAAGCACCTGCGTGCCAGGCATTTTTCTAGGTATTTGGGCTACGTCAGTAAACAGAAGAGAGAAAAAGCTGCGCTGTCTTGGAACTTACATTGTAATGGGGGAAGATTGACAATAAACAATAAACACAATAAAAAATTAAAATATAGAGTACATTCTAAAACATTAAATGCTCTGAGAAAAATAGAGCTGGTTGGGGGGACTGGGAGTGCTGGGAGCAGGGCAGTTATTATATAATTTTAGAGAAGTTATCTTTTGACCAGAGGCTTGAAGGAGGAAACCATGCATATATCTTAGAAGAAAGAATTCTAGGCAGACAGACAATGCCAAGGAGGCCAGTGTGGCTGGGGTGGGAAGGACAGCAGCAGGGGTGAAGTCAGAGTGGCGACAGGGCATCCAGACATGTAGAAACTATAATCCATTGTTAAAACTTTAGCTTTGGCTCTGAGCAAAATGAGGAGCAAATGGGGAATTCTGAATCGAGAAATAACTTACCCGTCTTATTTTTCAAATGGATCATTCTAGTAGCTCTGTTGAGCGTAGACTGTCAGGGATAGGGCTGGCAACAGGCAACTGACCTCCTAAGATCAGTTAGGAGGCTGCTGGATAAACCAGGCTCAAGATGATGATGCTTCAGACTGGAATGATAACAGAAGTGGTCAGATTCTGGATCTGTTTTGAAGGTAAACCCTGTACGGTTTTCTAACAGATTGGATGCAGGATATGGGAAAAAGAGAGAAGTCAAGGATGACCCAAAGCTGCTGCTTATCTAACTGGAAGGTTAGCCTTGCCCTCAACGTGGATGAAGAAAAGTGGAAGTTAAGCAGGGCTTGGGAAGAAGATGGGGAGCTCACATTAGGAGTCTGAAATATCTATCATATATCTAGATGTAGTTGTTGAGTAGAGAGGTATGAGAGTCAGGGATTTAGGAGAGAGGGCTGGGATAGAGATGCATGTTTAGAAGTTTTCAGCATATGATACATAAATCTATAAAATTGGATGTGGATGAGATCACAAAGTATCTACCAGTTTTTACATCTATCCATCCAGCCATCCATTCATCCATCCATCCATCCGTCCATCCATCCATCCATCCGAGACAGAAGAGAAGAGATTTGAAGAGCCCTCTAGCCCTCCAACTTTAGGAGAAAGGGAGAAGAGAAGGAACCATCAGAAGAGACTGAAAAGGAGGCATCAATGACAGAGGAGGGGAATCAATAAAATGTTGGAAGCTGAATTAAGAAAGAGTATCAAGAAGGAAAGAGTAATCAACTGTGTCAAAAGCTGCTGTTAGGTAGAAGCAATTGACTATTGAGTTTAGCAACATGGAGGTCATTGGTGACCTCAACAAAGTTGTTTCCATGGAATGTGGGGTGGAAACATGACTGGAGAGGGTTCAGGTGAAATCAGAGGGAGGAAGGTGAGACAGGGAGAAGACAGAAACTTGTTTGAGGAGTTTTTCTATAAAGGGGAGCAGAGAAAGGGGGTAGTGGCTGGAGGGGCATGAAGAGTCAAGTCCAGGTTTTGTAAAGGTAGGAAAGACACAATGTGTTCACATGTTGATGGGAAAGGGAAAGGGGAAATTAGATAGTATAGGAGAGAATGTGTCAATTACTCCACTTGTGTCCTTGCAAAGTGGCAGAGGAAGTCTAGACCATCCGTGGCAGAACTGACCTCAGGTGGCAGCAGGACGGACCATCTAGAGTGTTGGGAGGGAAGGCAGGGCACACAGGACCGGATGTAGGGTCGGGATTGGAGAGAATGTATGAGTGTGTGGAAGTTAGCTTTGGAATGCATCTATTTTCTGTGACAAGAGCAAGCAAGGCCATTAGCTAAGAGAGAGGAGGAGGGAGGAGGTGTTGGAGGTTTGAAGAGACAGGAAAGGGTGTAGAGGAATCTTTAGTTTTTCTTCCTGTCCCTTGTATAGGATTTGACCCTGGAGAATTTTTAACAAGACCCAAGACATAGAATTGAAATGGATTTTTCTAATGTTGCCCTCCTCGGGGGGCACTGAGTTTGGAATTGGACAGAGTTTGAATCTTGGCTATACCACTCATTACATGTGTGCCCACCAGGAAGTCCTTATCCCCTCTTCACTTCAGGTTTCTCATCTAGAAAGAGGGAATTGAATAAGGTAACAAATGTTATGTGCTCAGGTAGTCCCTGACATATAGTAGATGTGAAAACAATGCTATCATCAGTTTCCCAGGCATTATCATAGCTTTAGCCCTCTGGACTGCATAATGACCTTGGAATCAAAAGAATTTGGACTGAACGACTTTTCCATTTTTGTATCTCAATGAACTAGAGATAATAGAATGAAGTTAAACTCACCATTAAAGGCTAACTCCTAATATTTTTTTATCTTAAAAATGGAAGGAAAGATGCTATGAGTTCAGATTTATTCCTCTTCAAGCAAATTGACAAGTTTTTCTATTTCTAAATTAATAAATGGTAGAGTGGACAATTACAAAAGAAAGACAAGCTGGGCAGCCACGCACTGGCTGGTGACTTTTGTGTAAGTTGCTTTACTCCTCCCAGCCCCAGTTCTTTCCTCTGCCCAATGGGAAACTTCAATCCCTTCTTTATAGGCAGGTGTGGGCCCTAAGGAAATAGTTGCTGAGACACAGATGTGAAAGCATTTTGCAAACTATGGAGTGCTCAAACACTCCCAGGATAGTGGTGGTAGCCTCTGCCTCCATGAGAACCAAGAAGAGCTTGTTAAGACCCTCGAGTGAGGCTGCAGCACATCAAAGCCCATAGTTGCTTCTGGAGAGAGTTTGAGAAGGGCCCAGGGCAGCCTTACATGCTCCCTTTTGCTCTGACCTTTAGTAACATTTCCGAATAAAACTGTGACATGTTGCTTATGTTTCAGACTAAAGATGAAGTAAAAACAGGTCAGGTTGCCCAGACCTAAACAAGGAGCAGATGGACAAAAATTGCGTCACTCCCTCCCATCTGTCTCAGTCCTCCAGGAGAAACCCTGGTGGGCATCATCCAAAACTTTGGTCCCCCAGACCCCTGATTTCTCTAGGCTGAGCAAAGAAGCAGATTCTGGGGGCAGATTATGGAGGGGCACAGATATCGGAGACTTGGAGACATATGGTCCTGGATTTGCATTCCAGCTCTCTCATAGTTTGTATATGAAAGCTGATCCTATATCCTGGTTTGCCTAGTACAGTCCCAGTTCAGCCCTACTGACTCTGTGGAATGAATATTAGCATCTCCTTTCCCTTTCGAACGTGTTCCTGTTTGGATGAGAAATTGCAATGTCATCCTGTAGATATGTGACCTTTGCTGCAATATCTTTTGAACCCCAGTTTCCACATCTGAAAAATGGGAATCATCATTTACATATTTCAAGATCATTGTTGATAATTTACACATGATTTAAATGGAAATGGAAATTAAATAAGACATAAAGTCTATTTATTTATTTAAAGACAGGGTCTCACTCTTTTCCCCAGGCTGGAGTGAGTGCTGGGATCGTAGCTCACTGCAGCCTTGAACTCCTGGACTCAAGGGATCCTCCAACTTCAGCCTGTTGAGCACTTGGGACTACAGGTGCTTGTCGCCACACCCTGCTTTCTTGTTATTGCTGTTTGTTGAGTTGGGGGTCTCACTTTGTTGCCCAGGCTAAAGCTGGTAATTTAATATCAGCATTGCTCTGGTTTATGCATCTATCATTTTTTTTCTTCAAAGTATTTTAACAAACTCTTAGCTGATTTTGTGACCTCCAGTCCAGTGGTTCTCAGATCTTAGGGAACATTAGAATCACCTGCAGGTCTTGTGAAAACAAACTGATGGGCCGCACTCCCAGATTTTCTGATTCAGTGGGTTTGTGGTGGGGTGAGACTGTGCATTTCTAACAAGCTCCCAGGTGAAGCTGTGGTCTGGGACCACAGTTTGAGAACCACTGATCCAGTTTCTCCCCATCCATCCATCTCTATGCTTCTGCCAGAATGATCTTTTCGAAACACTGATCAGTCCATACTGCTTACACTGCTTAAAACCTTCAAATGGCTCCCTAGTGGCCTCAAGAAAAAGCCTACCTCCTTAGGTGGGCACTCGAGACCTCACCCCTCTTACCTGTCACCCTGATCTCCAGGCGCAGTGCTCGGCTTGCTGGCCCAGGTAGCTTTCCCTCCAAGAGGCAGGCTGCACTAGGGAAGGGCACAGGCATCAGACAGGCCTGGGTTTGAATTCCAGCCCTGGCATGGGCTCTCTGCTGTGACTTTAGGCAAGTAACTTACCTCTCTTGTGCATATGGGAAAACTGAGGCTTAACAAGTTCAAGAATTCTTACCTCTATGTGGAGCTGGAAAAGCTAAATGAACTGTCTGGGGAGCATGTGCCATGCCTGCTCCATGGCAGGTGATCCTCAGCCTGATGTCTTCTCAGGGCCTGTCTGTTTAGTCTCTAAGACCTCACCCTGCTGTCTCCTCCCTACTGTGTGGCTTGCCTCCCTCCCCCTAGTTCTGATGGCTCTTGCTGACAGAATCTGTGAAGTACCATGTGAAGGGCACACACAAGGCCAGATCTCTGTGAGGGGATGGTCAGGGAGGACTTCCTGGAGGAAAGCCATAACAGGTTATCAGCCTCCAAGATGGTCCCCAGTGGTCCTGCCTCCTGGTACTCACTCCATTGTGTAGTCCCCTCCCACACTGTCCCTGGGTGGGACCAGTGGTATATGGCAGAAGTGATGATATGTCACTTCTAATATTAGGTTATAAATACTACTTTTCTGTGTTGGTGCCTCTTGCTTTCTCTTGATCACCTGCCCTGGGGGAAGCCAGCTGCCATGTTGTGGGGCTGTGGCCAGGAACTGAGGCCTCCCACCAACAGCCATGTGTGTCAGCCATTGAGAAAGCAGATCTTTCAGCTGTTGTCAAACTTTTGGGTAACTGCAACCTCATGAGAGACCCTGAACCAGAACCATCCAGCCTAGCTGCTCCTAGATTCTGGATGCATCAGTACCATGTGAGATAATGAGTACTGTTCCAAGTTGCTAAATTTTGGACTAATTTGTTATTCAGCAATAGATAACTAATACATGAGGCTTGGAAAAGTTAAAGGCACACAGATTGTAAGGAGCAAAGATAGAAATGGATACCTGAATTTTTGGCTCCCTCGTCCTTGCTAACACACTGTAAGGTAAGGGGATGTGCTTTGGTCAAGGAATAGGCTGAGGCAGACATCCAGGCCAAAGTGACTGAGCGAGTTTAGGGTGCAGGCACATACTTCACTTGTTATATAACCTGTTTGTGCAAGCTCATCGCCTGGCTCAGAGTTACTGTTGTCTGTAGAAGGTACCACTGCCCAGCTGACACTGTGCAGGCACTCTTGGGCATGGCTCAACATGGCTTTTGCGCAGATGCTGGCACCCAGACTGAGAGTGAAGCTACTGACCCCTATCAAGGAGAGTGACTGTCTGGCAGATGGACAGGAGGGAGCCAGGAACCGGCTTGTGCCAAGGGAGAAAGAGTTATGCTGCTGACCCTAAAGATAAGGGAGAGCTGGCCACGCAGGTGTGTGTGGGAGCACACAGAGCAAGCAGCTGACTCAAAGCGGAGAGTGTGAGAGAGCTAGTGTAATTAAGCTGCTGATGAGAGAGCTTCTGAATAAAACTACATTTCACCTGCTGATGGCCCCCCAAGTGTTTTTTCAGCTATCACCCACCCACCCACTCCCCTACAACCTCAGCATGAGCTGGAACCTAACCCTGAGCGTGACATTTGGTGTAGTCATGGCCCTGGACCTAATACACACCATGTTACCTGAGCCAAGACTACCTTTGATGATTGCAGGACGCAGGAAGAGGTGAGGAAAAAGAGGAGGAGAGAAAAAAGGCCCTCCAAAACCAGTTGGAGAGAGGCTATGAGAAAGGTATGCCTGAAACCACAAATCTAACAGCCAGGTAGAAATGAGAAGCTCAAAGTCTACACCCACCTGTTGCTTCCACTGCTCCAAGATTGCAACTACTCACCCTCCTGCCTGGGTCCTGTCTGTGATCAGAGGAGGAGATGGGTTCCCAGGCTGTAGGCATCTCCAGGCCAGGAAAGCCTTGAAAAGGCTTGTTCTGATCAGCCTTTGCTTGTTTCCACAGCCGTGCAGCACCCAGGGCCTCACAAGCCAGGAGGTGAATTGTAATGAGCATTTATTCATCTTCTACTGTGTGCCAGGCACTGGGCTAGATGTATGATTTAATTCCATGCTTAGAGGAGACCTGAGAAGTATGTACTTTAATACTCATTTTACAGATAAAATCAAGCTAGATTCGAAGAGCTCAATCTGTGTAAAGTTCACCGACAGCTGTTAAGGATTTGAATTTAGTTCCGTTCCACCAAGGTCTGAGGCAGTGCCCCCCACAATGGGCTACATGAATGAATAAGGAGTCAGAGTTCAGAGACCCTCATTCAAACACATGTTTTAAGGTGCCCATTACATGCCTGACACTATGGGGATAAGGAAGCAACAGGAGTGGAGTCCCTGTCTCAAGAGTTGATTGGGGAAGACATCACACGATATCATATTTGTTTGTTTACCTGGGACAGAGGGAAGCACAAAACGTTGTGAGAATTGAGGCCTGAGCTTAACCTATGATGGGCAATCAGGGAAAGCTTCTTGGAGGAGGGAATACCTAAACTGAGGCCTCTTACAGAGAGGTTGAAGTTAGACAAACAAGAGGAGTGAAGGGTGTCAAGGTGTATGTACAAGCCAGGTTTAAGAGAGCTGGGTATTCTTCAGAGCCTTGCTCCTCCAAATGTGCTTCCAGGCTGGAGCGGCAGCTCTGGCATCCCTTGGGAGTTTGTTAGGTTTGGTCCACCCCAGATCTACAGAATCAGGATCATAATCAGGTGGTTTACCTGCACATTTAAATCTAAGAAGTGCTGCTGTAGAGGGAATAAACATGTGTTACAAACCATATAAGAGAGCAAAGTACACTTCTGATGCATGAACCTGTGCAGCAAGGGTAGGGTAGCGTGCCATGGGATGGATGCCAGGTGTGAGGCGAAGCAGTGCGCCCAGGATAAAATGTTCTCAGGCCCAGGACATGTGGCCAGGTCTAATTTTTAAATAGAAGACAAATATCTGGTTATTTATGAAAAATCTGCTGATTTAAAGATATAAATTAATTTAAAAATTAAAAATATTCTAGTGGATCAAAAAATCATGACTTTGGGCTGTTAGTTGATAGCTTTTGGCTTCTGATTGTGAGCACAGCACCTGTATCTTTATAACCTGGTGTTGAATGAATGAATTAGGTGGGAAAGGATTGGAATATTCCTCCAAGGCCCGCAGAGCTGGCTATTTCTCTTCACATACTTTTCCACCTTTGGCCTCAGTTTCCTCACCTAAAAGCCAAGGGTTCCAGTTGATGATTTCTAAGGACTTTTCCAAATCAGCCTTGGTAACCCCAGGAGAGGGTCAGAATATCTTGCACCAAGGGGTGGGATCAGTGGTACTAATGCAGAGACAGCTGTTGGGTGCTGTCCCCTTGGGGAAGCCAGAGCTTTCTGTGCGTGGTATGTTCTATCCTTCCCAATGGGGACCGAGCTGGTCACTGGGTGGAAGAAATGAGCCTCCTAATGCAGTTTTTCTTTCATCTAGGTTGAAGCTTTATAAAACACCAGGGCCCCTCTAGACACAGAGGGAGATAGCAAAGGAGGCAGGCCTGGGCTTTTAGCCTTTGCAGGCTCATGCTGCCCCTGCGTCTGTTGCCCCTTCCAGTGCTGCCTCTCCTGTCTCTGCTGCCTGTTCTGGCTGAGGCTGCTCTTACCACTCAGTTCTGAGCTTTCCACAGCCCTGCCCATCTTCTTGCTGCCCTCACCTGCTTCTCTACTGCTCAGAGGAATCCTATCTCCATCTGACCCTTTCTCTAGAGGAGAGGATTTAGGCTCAGGCCTAACTAAGAGATCATGTTACCAATGAGATCGTGGAGGAGCTCATGATTCCACGTGAGAGGCTGTTGGCCAAGCTTGGGAGACAGCAGGGCTGGCAGCATAGGGGCAGATTCGCATTCCGCAGACCTGGGTTCAAAGCTTATCAATGTCATCCACTCCCTGAGTGTCCTTGGTTGAAACTTTCATCCGTGTGGGCCTCAGTTTATTCATCTGTAAAATGTAGATAATAGCACAGCGCTGTGTAGGTTGTGAGGATTTTTAAAAAGTCACTCACATTTATTTAGCATTTACTATATAAAAAGCACTACACAAAAGACCTTACTTGCCATATTGCATTTAATTCTCACAACAGCCTCATAGCTAGGTGTTATTATTATGCCTATTTTACAGATGGGAAAACTAAGGCAGTAAAATTAAGCAAATTGTCTGAGGTCTCACAGATAATAAGTGGTAGAGACTGAATCAGGTGCAGGGGGTTCTGATTCCAGAGCTAACACACATGACCATAGACACAGATAAACTTAAAAAAGGTTTCAAACCTGACCCCTACCCTCATTTAGCCTCAATAGGAGGTTTAATGGGCCAGACAGTGTTAGATGGCCAACTTCATGTTTATAGAAATCCTTTTTGTGAAGAGTTTTCAAAAACTTTTCACTGACACGATCTTACTTCCACCTCCCAGCAACTCTGTGGGGGTAGGTATTATTCTGTTTTACAGATGGGGCAACTGAGGCTCAGAGAGCTAGTCAACAGCTGAGCCAAGACTTGAATCCATTTCTCCTGACCCAAAGCATAAGCTTTTTCTGCTTCATCATCTGCTTGGCATTTGTCATTGTCAAGGAATAAATGAATTATATTAATTAGTCACATTAATAGCTCAGTGAGCAGAAGGACTCAGCAAAAGTTGATCTTGGTGGCAGGGGGAAAGATACATAACTGGGGTTGGACCACAGGTTGCTGTCTCAGAAGGGTGGGCTTGGGCAGAACGATGACACAGAACAGGAGATGGACAGCAGAGTTGTGAGCTGGATATCCCTGAGGCTGGGGATTGTTTGAAGGATATTGAAGGTGGGCGTTGCTGGTTTCCTCATTTCAGATTCTTAGGGGTCTTTATGCCATGGCTGTGGTTTAGACAAGGATGGAAGCACTCAGTACAGGGCATGGAAGAGTACATTTTTTAGGCAGGTCAAAAGGGCTAAACTGAGGTTCAAAGCATTAGCCTGTTGGGTCCAGGTTTTGCGGTATGCAATATCCTCTGGACCTTAAGTGTTTACAATCTAGCCTCATGGATTAGCACTTTAGGTTCTCCAAGCCATCTTAAATGGTCTGTGCCTTTTCTTACCTCTGGGTCTTTGCACACTGCCTTAAATGGTCTGTGCATTTTCTTACCTCTGGGTCTTTGCACGTACATTCCCTTCAGCCAGTCAGAGGAGGAGGCTGCACAATGGGCAGAAGGGCAGAGAGAGGTGAGTGGTGTTCTGGTAAAATTCCCGTTGACTCTTTAGGTGCCATGTTGGATAGCAATACAGTAAAATGATGAAAAGCTCTACTACTTACCATCTGTGTGGCCTCGACAAATGACTTAACTACTCTTTGCCTCATTTTCCTTATTTGTATAAAATAAGGATGATGATAATAACTCAAAAGGTTAGTGTGAGGATTAAATGTGTTAACACATGTGAAGGCAATCAGGCTGCTAGAGGATTAAAGAAAGAGATGCATACAGAATGCTCAGAACTGTGTCTGGCACCTGGCTCTCATGCAATCACGGTGAGCACTTATGAGTCTTTTAGAAGGCTTTCCTGGACTCCTACTTTCCTTTAACTCAGCTAATCAGATTACGGTGTTAGTGTTATGTGGCCTCTGAGCACCAAAGTTCAGATTCATTAGATTTGGGTTGGGATTCAGATATGCCAGTCCCTTTTTGGCAGGCATTCCAGGCAATTTGAGTGGTTCCCACTTAGTTCGTCTGGGATGGTATTTCTCAATTCTTCACTATAAGATACGAGGCTATTTTCTCCAGACCCTGAACTCTGTGAGGGCAGGAGCTGCCCCTGTGTTTTTTTTAATCAGTGAGTTTCCAACACCTCTGCACAGTGCCTAGCACAGAGGGCTTTCTTAGTAATATCTGAGGACTATGCAAGCTTGCATGTTTTGCTAACGATTCCCTCTGCAGCATTATATGGTACACAGAACTCAGAACATAAATTGGATCTAGTTTTCCTGATATTGCTGTTACTAGTTAATAATTATTTATACTAAACTTTCACTATTCAAATCATGTTTCTGTCTCCTTATTGGACTCTAACTTATACAGATGGCAATACTGTACAATGGGTAAGAGCATGAACTCTGGAGCCAGAAAACCTCAGTTTATTTTTTGGTAAACAAAAATACTAATAACTGGAACTTTGTAAATTTGGTGGCTTGTGAGGACAAGCCCTGGAGCTTATCCTGAGTGGTTTGTTTCTGAGCTAATTGTACAGAAGTCCTGATTTCTATTTGCCTTTGCCAAGTGTCTCTGATTGTCAGGACCTCCAGAGTGAGGTGACATTTAGGGAAGAAGGTTCCAAACCAATCCTGCTTCTCTGGGAAGATTTTGCAGCCAGATGCCCCTTAGGATGCCTCTGTGTGCATATTTAGGGAGCTCACAGGTGGGGATGGCAGGATTAGGACTGAGGGTGTGCAGAGGCTTAACTGATGGGAGGTTACCCACCCCACATCTGCATGTAGGCCTTGTCTAGCAGTAACCCAGGGAAGACATTTGTGTCCCTGGGACCTGAACCTATTCACATGAAAGAACACCAGCTCCTGTTGTCCAGATGCCATCTATGCTGGTCTGATGGCCTCCCATCCCCACCCCCACCCACTCTGGCCTGGATCCCATTTATAGCTTCACCTTCAAATTACAGGTATAAACTGCAATCATGCTTCCACCTGAGCTGGATGGGGAACAGAAGGCAGGCTGATTACCCCTGGATTGGCACCATATATTTGAATGGCAGGAGTGCCTCGAGTGGGGATCTGAGTACTGAAATGGGCTCTGTCTTTTAAATCCCAAGAAAGTCACTAAAAATCCTAGAATGTGAGAGCAAACAGATACCAGAGCTCTGTGAGAAGTCAAGCTCTGTATATATCACGAGGGGCTTGCCCTTGTCATTGGTTTCTGGGTAAATTGTAGGAAAATTGTGAAGCAGGAAACCAAAGCCAGAAGAGCAGTGACTTATGGCCTCCAAGGAAATAATCCTGCTTCTTCTCCCTTTCCTTTCCCAGGTATCAGATCAGCATCTCAGTCTGAAGGCTTTCCCTGCCCAATTCTGACTTCTCTCCCTTTTCAATTTTACAAACATTGCCCTCAATATACCACTGGTATTCTGAACTCATCTCGGTGTCTGCTTCCCAGAGGACCCAATGGCCATGAATATTGCCTCCAGTTTAACACAGTATCTAACACATAGCAAGGGCACAGTAAATGGTAGGCACAATAGCATTGGCAGTCATACTGTTATTGCTGTTGTTATTATTATTTCTCCTGACTAAGAGAAACTTGCAGCCCTTCTGGTCAAGGGAAACCAAAGTGACAAATACACAGGAAATCTGTTCTCAATCTGACCAGAAATTCGCAGAAGGAACAAATATTCTGCAGGGCTGGCAGTGAACGTGAAGCGTAGATCTGGCCCTCAGGGCTACGTCAGGAAGATCATTGTTTTATACATGCTCGCATCATTTGTGATTGTTCTTCTCACAAAAAGGACATGGCATTCATTTGGAGTCTGCAAGGCAGCTCAGGTTTCCAGAAAAATGAATTTTAAAAAGGGGAACATTTCATATTTGACATGTTCAACACTTCCTCCTTGATGCCGAGCGGAGAGTGTATTGGACCATTCATTGTGCTTGTCAAGACTTGAAGACAATCTCAATACAAGTCATGCTGCTCTGAGATTTAAGACCCTTCAGGATATTTTGCATACTTGTTATATTGCCACCTTTGGTGTTTTAACATTTATTGAATCCCAGGGCCATAAAAATGTCCTGCCTTTTATAGAGTGCACAGATTCAGAGACTCCCCCACAGGCTAACCCACCAGAGTTTGAAGAGACCTTACTGAAACATAGAGTTCTTGATTTGTAACTGAAATGCTACCCTGCTATTAAGTTGTCTCACCACGGCACTGGCATGTTACAGCGGGAGAGACAACCCTCTCCTCCCATCCCCAACACCCCAAAGGCGTTTACTGAAAGGCTAACTTCTAAGACGACACATTCTGTGTCTTTGTGAGTGTTATTCTGAGTTGATTCGTAGATTTCTTCTAACTTATTTTTTCAAATTTATTTTCTTCCTTCTTCTTTTCTGTCTCCTCCTCCTCCTCCTCCATCTTCTTTTCCTTCTTCTTATAGTAAGTGCTACGTTTTGGGAGCTTTATTTTGTCTGAAAAAGAATCAAAGACCCCATGAATCGTATCATATGACCTGACTTGCCCTGCTTGGTTCTGGTTTATACCCACTGCCTGAGTATAAATATTAATAGCACGTCCTTTCCCTCTTAGATATGGAGTAGGGTCCTTAGCAAAATATAAGGGTACATATACACCCCACTCACACACACCCACACACATACACATGTATACACAAAATGGTAAAGGTTTGGAATCATGAACCATATACTAATTTAGAGAAATGAGGTTGCTTTTATTTATTCATGATTATTTATTGTATGGTTCTGTGACACTGCTGTAGAGAACCCTCCAGTGACTTTCATGAAAATCCAAATGAGCTGCCATCCTGGATTTGAGGGAATACAGTCTTGCTTGAAATCAAGGGTATGAGATGAATAACTACTCAGGGCTCTATATGGTCTTGGGAACGCTTGAAGTAGATCATTGGGTGCTCACAAGTGGTCAAAGAGGTCAGGGCTCTTGTGGTTAAATAAAAATGATAGTGATAATGAATGCGATTAGTAATAGCTAACATATTTACTACATGCTTAGGCATTGTTTCAAGTATTTTATATTTACATATACTAACTGATTTAATCTTTACAATAACCTTATGAGGTCAATACCATTATTATCCCCATGTTATAGATAAAGAAATCGAGGCACAAGGAGGTTAAATAACTTGCCCATGCTGTAGAATTTTTCTACTGGAGCATGGAGCCTTACCTTGTGTCCTAATGTTTTGGTAGAAAGATACCACAGGGATATGTGGTCTCTTGCCCTTAGACTTTACCTCTGGTTATTAAACTGGCCACCAAAATTCTCTTTAATTAGAATGTCTATAAAATTTATCATCCAAACAGGGACACTTTTGAGAATGAAAAAGGGTATTATTAATAGTTATGTTGGGACATTAGTCATAAATGGAATAATGATGTGGGACAAACCAGGCCATATGGTCACCATACAGCTAAAATTAAGTTCCTAAAAGCTTGAACTCTACTCTACCTTAAATCCTCACTAGCAAAGCCAAAAAATGTTAAAAAGGAACTTTACACATCATCTAGGAATAGCACATAAACACACGTGAAACCGTAGTATAGGTTGTCTTAAAAAGTAGTTGTAAGGAACTGTGAAGAATCTGAGATTTTATCCTACCTCCAAGCTAAGAAGGTAGCCTGCTACAGTTTCATGGATGCTGGTAGAAGACAAGTGACTCCTGGGTCAGAGACAAAGGGCTTTATTATTCATAGCCCAGCAAATGGCATAAGCTTCATGTTTGTGTGCATTTTCTCTTGTCCTCTAAGTCCCAAGGAGTGATGCAAAGTACCCCAGGTGGGTAATACATTTACAATGGGCTTGCTTTACAGCTAGCTGAGAAACCTAGAGCTTAGGAAACCCAAATCTTTTATAGTGTGTTGCAAGCAAACCCACCTGACCCTTGTCCTGGGGAGAGACAGTAGCTTTATTATGCAGGACAGCAAACAAAGCTGTCCTTTGCTCCTGGGGGAAGCACTATCTCTATCTTCTGAGGCCCTTTGCTCTACAAAGATCTTTGAAAAGATAGTTGGTGCCTCTGCTTGTAAGATACGTAGAAACATGAAAGACTCATAGAGAATTGTCTCCCAACATCAGTGAGTGCCACAAAATCAGGGTTGATACGGTTTGGCTCCGTGTCCCCACCTAAATCTCATATTGAATTGCAATCCCCAGTGTTGGAGAAGGGTCCTGGTGGGAGGTGATTGAATCATGGGGGCAGATTTCTCCCTTGCAATTCTGGTGATAGTGAATTCTCATGAGATCTGGTTGTTTAAAAGTGTCTGGCATCTCCCCCTTCTCTCTTCTTCTTTCTTTGGCCATGTAAGATGTACCTGCTTCCCCTTTGTCTTCTGCCATGATTGTAAATTTTCTGTACAGCCTGCAGAACTGAGTCAATTAAGCCTTTTCTTTATAAATTACCCAGTCTCAGGTAGTTCTTTAGAGCAATGCAAGAATGGACTAATACAAGGACGTTCAATAAGAGTTTTGTTTTTGGGATTTTTGTATTGGATATAGAATAGACTAGACAACTTTTTCACAGGTAGATAATTACCCTTTCCTACTAAAATGGAGATTTCATGAAATTTTGGTTCTCTTTGTCTTGTTTCTGGGAGAGGCTGAGGTTAAGAAAAGGAAAGCAATGAGACTGAATGACACATATGTACACCATCATTCTTTTTCTATTTGTTGCTTTTCTGCCTTTAAGACTAAGGATTTTTCAGCAAAGGGTTGGGAAATTATTACTCTTCATTGCTCATGGGTGGATGTTCCTGGCAGAAGATTAACTGATGATTAATGGGAGGGTAGACAGTTACTACAATTAGCAATAAATATAAAAATATGCTCTTCCTACTATCAAAATAATTTACTATGATGATTCTAAAATGTTTGAAAAATTGAGACACAAAATAAAATAACCACCCTAGTCTTATTACCTTACCACAACCACTGGTCACATTTTGGTTTATATTCTTTTGAGGTGTGTGTGTATGTGTGTGTGTTTACAAACATGTAACCATAGTTGTCAAAGTATAATTTCAAATTGCTTTTGATTTTTTATTTGCTGTGGATACTGCAGGCAGTTTTTGTAAACATCATTAAAAAAATTGGATAACATTACATTTAATACCAAAATTTATTTACCTGTTCTGTTATTTGATCTGGAGCCTAGTGTGTAAGATCACTGGCCCTGGAACAGGAATTATATCTCCATCACTTAAACTAGCTTTCTGACCGAATGTAGACTAAATAATTACCCTTTCTGAGCCTCAATTTCCTCAACTGGATAATAGATACAATAATGACCTTTTTATTGAATTGATAGTGAAAACTAATGAGATCAAGATAACATTTATAGGTACATTAACACAGTGCCTGACATGTGACCTAAAAAGTTAACAAATAATAATAATAATTATTATTATTACTCTATCAGTTCTTCATTATAAACTGTGGCTCGCACGCTCAGTGGACATCTTCTGTGCTTTTCCGAGACTAACCACTATTTCTTTAGAGCAGATTCCTAGAAGTGTAAAGACTGGATTAGGACCAGAGACATTTTTGACATTGGTGACTCCAGATTTGTGTTTGGAAGGTGACCATGCAACAGCTGAACAGGCGGAGTGTAAGCTCTGTAGCCAGTATCAACGTAGGTAAATCCCATGAATGTTTTCAATGCCATATAGAGCCTTGTGCTTCCAAGATGCACCTACGGCATAAGCAGTCACCATGATCCTTGCCCCTGAATTACGGTGAGCAGTGCAGAATGATGGACAAGCACCCTTTTACCTGTCTGTCTCTTTAGGAAGATCAGTGGCTCACGTCTGGTGTCTCAATGGCTAAACAGTCAAATTTTTCTTCCAAACATATTCTATTTTGTTGACACAATGTGAAAAATTGAATCTGAATGTCATTGATTGGGGCATGGGATCTCCCTTCTCCATAGGCTCCTGGCTCTTCTATATTTTCTTCTATGATGGCTTTCTGTGAAGAAGTTGTCCACTAAGCCCCCGTGACCCCGGGACTAGGCACGAGCACTGTGGCAAGGATGGCATCTCATTGCTTGTGGTATTCCAGTGCCCATCCTGAAGGCTGGCACGTAGGAGGGGTTCTAAGTATGGGCTGGCTGAGGAATCTGGGCGGAAGTGGCTGAGCTGCATGTACACACAATTCTGATGTACTCTATGAGCCTTAGGCTGCCATTTTTTTCCCCTGCAAGTCTCAGTTTTCCCTTCTGTAAAATGAAGGAATTTAACTGGATGTCCTCAAATATCTCTTTTGATTGTAGAAGTCTATATGTCTGTTATATAATTATAATCATGAATTTCTACTTTGTGCCAAAAGGTAAGAAACATGACCCCTCTTTCAAGAAGTTTACTACCAAGTTTGGAAATATATTATTGTTATTTATTTTATATAAGTAAATGCCAAAAATGACACTGGGCTATATATGATTAAATCCTAAAAGAATAGAGGTATGGTAGGAGCAATTCATTTATCCACTGAGCATTTTTGGAGCACAGACCATCTATGAGCTAGGTTCTGTCCTAGGCACTGAGTTGATTCAGGGTCAAGAGAAAATGCTACAGAGGCCCAGGGGTATGATCCTTGGAAAATTATTAAACCACCTCGAGCTTCACTTTTTATATATGTAAAATGGAGATGAAATAAAAAGCTATGGAGAGGATTTGGTGATTTAGTGAGTTGGAAAAATACAGGGTAAATTGAAGGTGAGACAAGTGTTAGTTGCCATTATTACCGAGAAATTTTATTTGCCTATTGATTGTTCATGCTTAGCATTAAGGGGTGAAGAGCAGGAACTGTAATGTTATTATCTTTGGCCTAGATCATTAAACACCCTTCTAATCTGGTCTGTTTATGTCCAGTCTTGGTTACCCCCATTTATACCCCAGTCAGGGTGAGATCCCTAAAATCTCATCTGGCCATGACACTTTCTTGCTAAAATCCCACAGGACATGTAATTGAAAAATGGGAGAAGAGCCTGGGGCTTCACTTGATCTGTAATGTTTTATATTTTCAGTGCACAAGTATAACTTATACTAGTTATACTTTTTGTCCACCTGAAATGTTTCTGAATTAAAAGTTACTTGAGGAGGGAGTACCAAGGACATCACATTTACTGGCTTGTTTCCTGACATGCTGCAAACTGGGTGGAGGGAGACAGCATCCTTCAGGGTGGCAGGAACAGGAGGGCTCAGAATTAATTTTGTGAGTCATTTGAGACTTCAAGAAGGTACTATGTTCCAGAAAGAAATCCAACCTGTGTTCATGAATTGGGGTCTTTATTTTCCATATAGCCTTTGACAGTTTTCCCAGAAAGAAAGAAAACAAGTGGAAAAAAGTGGGAAAATTCTCCAAACCTATACAGTCACAGCAAGGGAGAAAACTGTTCTCATTGCCCAGCTTCTGATTTAAATGCAGGGAAGGTCCTAATTGTCTCCCAGGCCACAGGCCCCATTCTAATTTATGGAAGGGAGGGCCTGGGAGGTAAATCTCTATGTCATTTTTCTAAGCCACCTAAAATAAGCTCATTAAACTACTGCCCATAAATGGAGGTGTTTTTCCCAGTGTTAAGGTGCTCCCACCCTCATCCCACACCCAGCATCACCCAGGGCACCGCCACTTTGAGATCCTGAGGGCACATCTGACAATGGAGCATTCAGGAAGGCCTTCTCAGATGGGGTAGGAAGCCTGTTTTATGCCCTGTTAATTACTGCAACAATTTATAAAATTCATGACAAACATAAAGCCCTTACAGAGATTGTATTTCAAATGGTATTTACCTGTAACAGAATCCCCTTTGTTTGTAATTCCTGGATTTACGAGCTGTTGCACAACAAAATGGAACTGCTCCTTGTCCCCATGTGGGGCACTGGCTGGGGGACCTTAAACCTGCCATGGAGACAGAAACCTACTCAGGCTGGGAAGGAGAAACTGTGATCAGACCCACCACCCACCCATGGCGCATCTCAGTTTCACAGCCTGTGAGCTCGGGGTTCATGATGTGGGGGTGAAGTTTGGACTGGGTTATGTAAGTTTTCTCAGAGAACTTTGGTGCCTGAGAGCTGGAAGTGACCTCAGGCAGGAGCTATTTTGACTTTGTATCCATCATAGGGATGTTCTTACAGCTTCTCTATCTATTTGCATACTCCAGTGATAGGGAGCTCCTTACCTGACAAAGCAGCCCAGATTATTGCCATGGTCTCTTGGTCTCTAGTCTTATCCCTTTCTTTTTCTCCCCAGTCTTTTTTCTAAAACCCAAATCTGATCTTGTTATGCTCCAGCTTAAAATCCAATGGCTTCCCTTTGCCTTCAGGATAAGTCCAAATTTCTCAACAAGGCCTGCAAGCTCCTGTGTGGGTTGTCCCTGCCCTCTTGTCTGCCTGCAGCTGGCAGTGGCCCTTGTGCACTCTTCTTCAAACTACTTGCAATTCTGCTCTTGCTTTTTTTTGCATTAAAATCCCATAGATGCTGGTGAGGTTGCAGAGAATATGGAACATTTATACACTGTTGGTGGGAATGTAAATCAGTTCAACTATTGTGGAAAGCAGTATGGCGATTCCTCAAAGAGCTAAGAACAGATCTACCATTTGACCCAGCAATCCCATTACTGGCTATATACCTAGAGGAATATAAATAATGTTACCATAAAGACACACGCATGCAAATGTTTATTGCAGCACTATTCACAATAACAAAGACGTGGAATCAAACTAAATGGCCATCAATGACAGACTGGATAAACAACATGTGGTACATATATACCATGGAATACTATGCAGCCATAAAAAGCAAAGAGATCAGGTCTTCTGCAGGAACATGGATAGAGCTGGAGGCTATTATACTTAGCAAGCTAACACAGGAACAGAAAACCAAATACCACATGTTCTCACTTATAAGTGTGAGCTAAGTGATGAGAACTCATTTAACACAGGGTAGAGAACAGCAGACACTGGGGCCCACCTGAGGGTAGAAAGTGGGAGGGAGAGGATCAGAAAAAATAACTATTGGGCCCTAGGCTTAGGACGTGGATGATAAAATAATCTGTACAACACACTCCCATGACACAAGTTTACCTATATAACAAACCTGCACATATACCCCAAAACCTAAAATAAAAGTTAAAAAAGAATCCCACAGTAAAACTTATATGATACAAGCACCAAGAACTTAAATTTAGGGCAGCAAGTGTGAGTATGTTTGTGGAGCTGGAAGACTGCACCTTTCTCAGCCTCCAGCATGGGAGATCAGGTGATTAGAACTCTGTAGAGGGATAGGAGGATGCTGGCAGCACCAAAGAAAAGAGGAAAGCAGGCTGAGTCCCCAGGACCCAGGCAGGAAAGTGTAGAGGGCCTCAGGAGAATTAGAGGCTTGAGAACATGAGAAAGTCCCTGCTATTCTCTCGGATGACATTTGAGCTGTTGAAATGTGCTACATTGAAAAGAACCATTCTCATCTGACCCATCTAGAGGCTGGGGAAAAGGAGCTCAGCTCAGCTCAGTTCTTTTCTCAGCACAGCAGGTCTGGTTTTCAGTGAGTTTCCAGCTTCAGAGAAAACAGTGCCTCTAAGCAAAGGTGCTAACTTTACGAGTCTTGGACAAGGAGTTGCTTTCATTTTCTGTTGGGTGTCAGAATATGTGTCCTCTGTGAGATATGCAGGAGACCTTCAGGTTTGCATCTTCTGAAGCAGAAGACTGTGTTTACGGAGCAGTTAAAACCTGGAGTGACTGTGTATTGTGACTGTCCAAAGTGTCCATTTTAAATGCTCGTGTGCTCATTTCTTAGAAGAGCTATTTCACACAGAGATTAAAGAAAAAAGCACTTACTTCAGAGTCCATCCGATTTCAGCTATTTTACTTACTTCTTCTCTGTGGGTCTTGACTGTAGTGTCTGAAAAATGAGGCTGCTGTTTGGAAGAGTTCTTTGAGCCATTTAATTTCTCAGGAGCTGAAATTGGTCTATGGTTTTCTCATTGATGAGATGGAGTTAACACTAACGTCTACCTCTAGAGCTGCTCTGTATAAGAATTAAAATAATCTATCTTATAAATATTATAAGGATGATGCTTCTGCATTTTCTATCAGACCACAGTTTAAGAAGACGCTGGGAAGAAAAGGTGCAATCTGTTTACACTGAGGTATAGGAAAGGGAAAGTTAGGATGCTTTTGGCTGCAAGCAACAGAAGACCTACATTGTTTAAATGGTAAGGAAATTTATCATTTTACATATCAAGATGTTTGAAGTAGGGGAAAAGATGACAAAGTGATTCTCAGCAGTCCCAAAAGCACAGCTTCATGTTTCATTGGCTAGAGGTTAGTTACAATCATGGCTTACCCTGAGACTGGGCTTCCCCCAAGCCTATCGCCACCAGATACAGATTGAAATGTGGATGAGAGCAAGGAAAGAGTAGAGACTGGACTGGCTTTGGACAACTAGCAGTGTCTGCCCCAGAAGAAACTAATACACACCATACAACTATATACCAAGCAGGTTCCAAGTCAATGACTACTTCAGAAATAGTTTGGACTCTGGATGGAGACACTTCCTGGTGTGGAGGGAGGAAACGTGATGTATGGGGAGAAACATGGTGTCTTTAGAATCAACTACCTTGAGTTCAAATTTGGTTCTACCCTGACCAGGCAGGTTTCTGGTGGCTATGTGTTTAGTCAGTTAAGGAAGTGAGTGCAAATCAAAACCATAATGATACCACTAAACACCCATCCATGAGAATGGCTAAAATTTAAGGGACTTGCTGGTGAGTGTATAAATTGATATACACCCTATGACTGATCCAGCAATTCTGCTCCACATGGAACAACTAAGGTGGACCATTTTAGCTTCAGAGCTCTCTGTGGGTCAGCTGAGGTGGTCCTTGGGTCTTTGTTGAGTTCTTGACTTCTCTCTGTTCTGATCCTGTTTTCTGTTCTTCCCTTCCATAGGGCTCCATCCCAAGGGTACTTCTTAGTAACTATCCTGCATGCTAACCAACATCTCAGAGTCAACTTCCCAGAGAACAAACCTGCAACATGTGATATGTTTGTTCACTAGAATACTACACAGCAGTAAAAAAAGAACACACGATAATACAGGCAACATGGATGAATGTCGAGTGAGAAAAGTCATATATGAAAGAGTACACTCTATAGGATTCCATTTAAATGAAGGTCAAAAACAGACAAAACAAATCTACAGTGAAAGAGGTCAGAATAATGGCAACCCTTCATATTAGGGAGGCTCCTGTGGTACTGGAAGTAGTTTGTATCTTGATTCAGAGGGTAGCTACCACCTCAACATAGTTATGCATGTATGTATATAATATATTCGTATTTAACATTTATTGGGCTGCATACTTACTTGATTGCATTAAGTTATACCTCCATAAAAAACAAAACAATAAAAAAGCCAGATTATACTGTACTTGCCTATGACCCTGCTAGTATGTAGCATATAGTATGCAGCACATGTTATTCTAGGTGTGTCTGTGAGGGTGTTTCTGGTTAAGATTAGTGTTTGAACTGGTAGACAGAGTAAAGCAGATAGCCCTTCCTAATGCAGATGGGCCTCATCCAATCAGATGAAGGCCTGAATAGAGTAAGGAGGCGGCCCCTCCCTCCAGTAAAAGGGAACTCCATGCCAGCAGGGGACATAGACAATCACATACAGTCTGACCTTTTTTATCTAATTTTTTAATCTTATTATTTTTGTTGATGTATAACTTAATGCAGTTACTATGCCAGCCTCATAGTAAGCATTCAATAAACATTTTTTGAATGAATAAACAAGTATCTCCCTGGTCTAGCATTGATTCATTTGGTAGACTTGGCTAAGTCTCTCTACTCTGTGAATTTCATTTTACACAGAAGGAAACCATGACAGAGGGCAAATCTTAATCCACAGGCACGTTGTGAAAATCAAATGAGATAGTTGATGAAAACACACTTTGTAAACTGTAAACTGCTGTATCAGAAATAGTGCACAGGTGTTGAGGTTGAACTGACAGAAGCAAAAACATAAGCTCTACTAGGCCTCACCTGTGCAACCTTGGGCACTTACACAACTCCTCTGTGCCTCAGTTTCTTTATTAGTAAAATGGAGGCAAAAAGAGGTCCTCCCTTGTTGGGTGACTGTGATAATTGAGATAATACAAGGCACTAGAGTAGTGGCTGACAGTCAGTACTCCATGCACACCAGCTGGTATTATCATCGAAAGAATTTCTCTGGGGGAGCACCTTTCCTCAAAGCATTTCTCTTCTCCCGCTTCCCCCACTTCTTTTTCTCTCCATCATCTCTTCTCTGGAGCCCACTAGGATTTAGGGATTCGTCATTTACAGCCTTAAAGAAATGAGTTTCTCTAAATTGCAACTGGCCCCCGACAAAGGAGATGACCCCACCAGGCATCCTCATACCCCTGAATTCAGGAAGTCTGAGCATCACTTTTTCCACTAAGGAGGAAAAAAAGGTGTTAATTGGCTGCTTGTGAAATATCTGGGTTTCTGCTACCATGGCAGCCAGGAAGGAGGGGCCGGGAATGGTGAGGGGCAGAATGGGGGTCACCTGTGGAAACATTCACTGGTGCTGTGGAGGCCTTGAGGGCAGAACATGATCCCGGAGTAGGCTTTTCCCCCTCACAGGCTAGGCTGGAAGAAGTGACCAGAGATGGAGTCAGATTCCTACCAAAAGCCAAGCCCAGTAGGGGCGATGTGGCCAGGCAAGAGGAGCTCTAGGCAGGGGCTGCAGCCCCAGCTCTCTCAGTCACTTGTGTTGCTTCGTCAAGAGGGACAGGGTCCAGATCATCTGTAAGGTCTCATTGAGCTTCAAATTTTTGGATTCTCAGAAGGGAAGCTTGGTACAGTAGACTCAGATGAAATGAGATTCAAATCCAGCTTTGTCCTTTTGGCAGCTCTGTGTTCTTGGGCAGATGACATCACCTCTTTGTTCCTTTGTAAAAAGGAATAATAATATTGACAACAGAGGTTTGCTATAAATAGGAGCTCAATAAATAATAGTCCCAGTGATGGTTAATTTTATGTGTCAACTTCACTGGGCAGCAGTGAAGTATGCAGATGTTTGGTCAAACATTATTCTGGGAGTGTTGGTGAGGGTGTTCTGGATGAGATCAACATTTCAACTGGTAGACTGAGAAAGCAGATGGCCCTTTCTCATGTGGGTGGGCCTCAGCCAATCAGTGGAAGGCCTGAATAGAATAAAAAGGCTGAGGAAGAGGAAACCCCTTCTGCCTGACTGCCTTAAGCTGGGACATTGGGTCTTTCCTGCCTTTGGACTCAAACGGAAACATCTGCCCTTCCTGGGTCTGGAGCCTGCTGGCATATAGACTGGAACCACACCATAGGCTTTTCTGGGTCTCCAGCTTGTTGACTGCAGATCTTGGGTCTTGTGAGCCTCCATAATGATGTGAGCCAATTCTTTATACTAATCTCTCTGTCTCCATATGTGTATATATGTGTATACACACACACACACACACACACACACACACACACACACACACACACGTACATATATGTCCTGTTGGTTCTGCTTCTCTGGAGAACCCTAATACCGTCCCTTTCCCATCTGCCATTCACCTTGTCATTTTTTCAGGAAAATGTTCATAATTTTCATTCATACAATTTTCAGCTCTTACTCTCCACTCCCAAGTAAGACAGTGGCTATTTATAGAAGCAAAAAGTCACCAGCAACAGTGTATGTTCCATTTGTCTCATCTTTATTATTTCAAGTGTTTTAATAATTATTATTTAATTATAAGGACACAACCACCTAGGGAGATAAATAAAGCAGAAATTGTTCTCTTCCTTTTTCTAAAAGAAGCATTAATGAGGTATAATTAACATACAATAACCTGCATTTGTCGAAAGTGTACAATTTGGTGAATTTTGAGACATATACACACTGGTGAAACCATCAACACAATCAGTATACAGAACATACCCATCCCCCTCTAGTTTCCTCATGCTTCCTTGTCATCCATTCAATGGTTTTTATAACTGCTGAGAACACAGAGAACCAGAAAGGAAGTGCCAGTCTCCTGACACTCAGTCCAGTGTTAATTCTAATAGGCTACCTTCAATCATCCCCAGAAGAGTTGGAGAGGGAACGATTTATTAAGCACATACCATGTATGAAGCCCCAGACCAGGTGCTTTAAACAGTCATGTGACACAAAACAATGTTTTGGTCAACAATAGACTGCATATATGATGGTGGTCCTGTAAGATTATAGTGAAGCTGAAAAATTCCTATTTCCTAGTGCCACTGTTGCCATCCTAAAGTCATAGCACAACACATTTCTCACCTGTTTGTGGTGATGCTGATGTAAACAAACCTACTGTGTTGTCAGCTGTATAAACTTGTACAGTAATGTCCTAGGTCTTCACATTTGCTCACCACTCACTCACTGACTCACCTAGAGCAACTTCCAGTCCTGCAAGCTAATTCACAGTAAGTGTCCTGTACAGGTGTGCCAGTTTCTTAATGTTTTATACCATATTTTTACTCTACCCATTCTAGGTATAGATATGTTTTGATACGTAAATACTTACCATTGTTTTACAATTGTCTACATCATCCAATACAGTAACATGGTGTCCAGGTTTGTAGCCTAGGAGCAAAAGGCTATACCACATAGGAATAGGACACACACACACAAGCGCACTAAGTGAGTGGCAGGCCATACCACCTAGGTCTGTATAACTACTTTCTGTGATGTTTGAACTATGATTACATCACCTAATGAGGCATTTCTCAGAATGCCTCCTTGTCGTTAATATATGCATGACTGTATATGTAGCTTATTTACATCTAGTAGCCTCAGTACTTCCTTTAGCTTCAGGTATCTTCTCTCTACAAATGTTCACCTTGATCCCTGACTTCTTCCTAAGCTCACATATCCAAGTATGTTCTTTGCCTCTCCTCTGGGATGTTGAAGCATCTCAAACCAAACTTGCTCAAACCATAACTTTGTTTACAACCTGCCCCCACAACCTCCAATCTGTCCTTTCCAAGTCTTTTCATTCACCATATACTCATGTGCTCAAGTCAAAAATTTTGAGTAAACTCTGATTCTTCCCTTCCCCTCACCTATGACAGCTAATCCACCAGGAAGTCCTATTAGCTGTGTCTTCAGACAAATCCCAATCTGGCCCCTGCATTCCATGCCTGCTGCCACTACCCTGGTCCAAGCCATCGTCACCTCCAACTGGTGTCTCGCTTTCACTCTTGCCCAATCTTTACTCTTTCTCTGCATGTCAGCCAGTGATCTTAAATCAGATCATAACACTCTCCTTCTTAAAACCTCTCAGTGGCTTACCAACACAATTAGAAGAGTTTTACATTTTACTCAGCCTCGTGAAGTTCGAGATGACCTGGCACCTTCAGGAATGAACACACACACACACACATACACACGCTACTGTCCTTCTGACCTTCTTATTGCTTGAACATGCGAATCTTATCACTACCTTAGAATTTTTGCAGGTTTTATTTTCTGCCTAGAGAATGTCATACTCTCCTTATCTAGAAATGGCTTAATTTTTATTCTTCCCTAAACTTTCAGCTGAGGAACAGGAATGGAGGTTATCACCACTGAAATTATGTTGTTATTTGTTTGATTACCTATGTGTTGCTTGTCTTCCCTCTTGAGAATGAGAGTATAAGCCTTCTCTGTTTTATTTACTTTCTTATTTACTGATTTATCTCCAGCACTTAGAAAAATACCTGGCATATCCTGGATGCTCAATAACTATTTGTTGAATAAATGATCAAACAATAGGCCTCTTAATTGTTGCAGATGTTAGCCATCTTTACAGTCAAATACTTCTCTATTGCTACATAAAAATTCAATAACTCTTCCTAATTCTTCCCCTTGCCTCATTGTTTTACTTGGCCATGTACTCTGCACAGTGATGAAGGCTTTAAATGTTTTAACTTCTTCATTTTCCTGCTCCCTTGTGGAATCTGACCCCACAACCCACCCCTTCTCTCTCACACATGTATACTTTCTGGGTTTTGCTGAGTAAATTCAGAATGTTGATGCTATTATCCCATATTTTCTTAATATGCCTCTTCTGTTTTAATAATCCTTACTTAACTCATATTACAATTCCCAGTCAAGCATTCATCATTCTCTTATATTTAACTATGAAATACCACAAGATTTATTGCTCACCATTCTTTCTTGTATTTGTCATCTTCCCTATCTTGAGATTTTGGTTTAATGAGTTTTCATTTGGCCAGAGTTCTTCCTCAGGTAATTTCCTCAGCTAGAGGCATGGGCACACACTCTTTGAATTTTTCAATGTCTGAAAATTTCTTTCAATAACAATAGCAGCAGCAGCAACAACAATGTATACAGCACTAATTCATGCTGTGCCTGGGCAAAGGGGCTATGACAGAGAACAGTCAAGGTCCTTGCCCTCATGGAGCTTACATTTCGTTTCCTGTGGCTTTGCTTTTGTGTTAGTGAAGTAGACTGGCTTGTGCCGCAGAAATCAAAACGACTCAAATTTTGAAGCCTTCAGAACAAGGATAACTTTCTTTGTTGCTCATACCAAGTTTGCTGCTGGTCTCAGAGGACTCATCAGGGAGATTGTCCTCTGTGTGATAGCTCAGTGTTGCTCTCTGTATCAACACAACCTTCCCAGATCATAACGGCAAGGGGAGAAGATGCTAGAAAGTCTCATACCACCAGTAAATATTTCTGCCCAGAATTGACACACTTATTTTCATTCACAGTTCACTGGGTTCATTGAACAAAAAAGTCACATGATCATGTCAAATTTTAGAGGTATAGAGAAATGCCAATCTCTCTGTGTGCCTGGAAAGTAAAGAACTGGGGATTTTGTGAGCATCATGAGTATGCACCTCAGTCTGCCCTTAAAATTCATGTCTTGGCAGAATATAAGATATCACTTGCTCGAATATCATTTTTTCTCTCAAGAATCTAAAAATCATGATTCGGTGTCTTCTATTACCAGTATTGCGTATGAGAAATCTAAGTCTTAATTTCAGTCTAAGAGAGACTTAGAAGAGCGACATGCAAAATTATGTCTAGATACATAAATACATACACACACAGAACTATGTATGAGGTAGTCTCCCTTTATCCACAGGAGAAACGCTGCAAGACCCCTAGCGGATGCCTGAAATCATGGATAGCACCAAGCTTTATATATGCTATGTTTCTTCTTATATATATGTACCTATGATAAAGTTTAACTTACAAATTAGGCACAGTGAGAGAATAATGACAACAGCCAAAAATAAAATAGAACAATTATAATAATGTACCGTAATAAAAGCTATGTGAATGTGATCTCTCTTTCTCAAAATATCTTATTGTACTGTAACTTGGGTAACTGAAACTGTGGAATGTGAAACTGTGGATAAAGGGGGACAACTGTAGACACACACACACACACACACACACACACACACACACACACACACACCATGTTATATAGATCTCAATTTATTCATCCATCCATTCATCTATGATGTTCAGGTCTGCCAGGACAATACAAAGATTGGATTAGATATGTAGGAGACTTATTGGCACGGGAGCAGGAGAAGCCTGGGAGAACCTTCAGGTCATGATGTAGATCTGAAACCTGTGGAAGGAGAGAGGGAAAGCAGGGGAATTAGATTGAAGTCATCTCTGACTGTGGCACACTTGCAAGGAAGATTTGGCCAGGCCCATGGGGTGCCCTCAAGCCAAAGTTGTCCATTGGAAGAGTCCCACATCTTGTAGGACTGGCCTGCTGTAGGATCCCTGCCATGCTTACTCATTGCATGCAGCCTGCAGGAAGCATAGCATCCCCATAAACTTAGTGGTGGATTCAGAGGGACTGCAGATGGGGCCATCCGTTAATTACGTTCTCTGCAGCAAGAGATCTGAGAGGCTGCCACATTTTCATGGTTGCCACAAGAAGCTTAAAAATATTTTTTCTTTTTTTTTTTTTGAGTTACGTAATTTCACCAGGGTATGTCTAGTGTGTGTCACTTGAAAATTATTCCTATTTAAGACAAAGGTGCATCTTTTTCATATAAAGTTTCATGTCTTTCCTAACCTCAGTAAAACTTCTTTAATTCTAACTTCCTGTTATTCTCCTCCATCTGTTTCTTGTGCCCCTTTTGAAACTCTGTTACTTCCATAATATATCACCTACATATGTCTTTCGTGTCTCTTATCTTTTTACAGATGATTTTCAATTTTTTGTATTTTTGCCATGTATTGGGGGTTACTTCTTATACCTAATTTGAAAAAATGCTCTTGTTTGAAAACTTCTCTATTAAATCTTAAAATTCTGAAATAATTCATGAAGTACCACAAGTATATTTTTGTGCTTTCACAATATCTCCTTAAGAATTCTAACTATGTCTTGCCTCCTTAAAAGCTACTTTGTTTTAGTTGTTGGGACTGGTCTCCTTACTTCAATGGTTTTGATCCCTTTTAAAATAATGTCTACTCTTTAAATGCTTGGTTTGGAGGATATACACACTAGGCATTGGGGTATTTTGGGCCAGGGAGGTTGACAGGCATTGGAAGGTAAGGAGAAATGTCTTCTCCAGTAGGCTGCTGATGACAGGTTCTTTAAGATGGGGTGAGGTTCAGAAGCTTCTTTATTCTAAAGTCCCAATGGAAATGGGGTGCCCTTGGCCCCACATTGCTACTCCTCTTGGACACAGCCACCTATGAGAATAGCTATCTCTCCTGGAGCTGCACATAGCTCGTTGGAGGAATGGTTCCTGTCTTTGATCCTAGGGGATTTACCGGGCTTTCTTCCCTGGACCTCATAACTGAAGTGTTCACTCCAGATTTTTCTAGAGAGGCAATCTTCTGTTCAGGTGGAGTTTGGGGTCCTTCCTTTGCTATCACAATCAATGAATCCCTCATCCTGTATCTTCTTTCCGAATATTTGAGGTTTCAGCCATATGTGGCTTTTTCTCTAGCCTACTGCAATCAGCCAAGTTAATTTTGGTCGTTGATTCACCCCCAGGGAGTTGCAACAGCAAAAAGATCCTGAGCACCTGTTCAGGTCATTATTTTGTAGAATCCCCCAATAATTTCTCCTAATTCTTGATAATTAAAATGCCCCTCCCATCTTCTTGTCTTTTCGAGCCCCCTTATTTTCTTCTTTTTGCATATTGGCATGTCAGCTTATTTCTATCAAAGAAGTCTTACAAAAGGGAAAACAATAGTTTGATTTTGTTACTGTCACCAAACTTACTATTCCCAGTGCAGATACCCTATCTGATGTTGGTTATTGCATGTCATAAGTCTAGGGTCAGCAGTCTGGGGATAGCCCTGGGAATTGGCTCCGAGTTTGTCATAATTGGAGTAACCACTACAAGAAAGATGGGGAGGCAGGCATGGGCATAATGAGAGGGTATGTTTGTCTGGAAGTCAGGGAGTAGGCTGGGACATATAATAGTTGCTTGTGAAAGCAGCAGTCTCATTTTGAGACTCTACCTTTGAAATGCCTATGTTGTTTAAATCTCTGTCTTGATGGCTGGCAATGTTGCTTTTCCAACCAAAAAGTTTAACAGTCATGGACTGCATGCCAAGTCCCATGCAAAGCATTTTATATGTGCTAACTCATTCACTCCTTACCACAACCCTGTATTGTTATCTTCATTTTACAAGTGGATAGACAGGGCTCAAAGAGAAGAGGTCAATTAGATGGCAGAATTGGTATTTGAATATGGTTTGGGTGATTCCAATGTCCACAGGTATGCTGTATGTCACCACTCTGTGTTCCTTATCGGCCCATGCTGTGTTTAGTTTTGAGTTGACTTTTGAAAGGTGAGTAAGATTTCAATAGCAAAAATAGGGAGGGCTGTCCAATTTGAGATACCAGCACATGAACAGGCAGGAAGGCAGGTGTAGATACAAAGGGAGATGTGGTTCTATGTGATTGGATTATAAACTATACAAGGGTGCTGTTATAGGGAGAAATGAGATTTGAAAGACAGGTTAACGCCAGATGGTGAAGGATCCTGTAACTTCCAAGCTGTGGAATTTTAGGCAAGTTATTTCACCTCTCTGAACTTCAGCTTCTTGATCTGGAAAATGGGGATGAAATGACCGTCATGATTTTGTGCGTGTGTGTGTCTGTGTTCATGAGCTCATATCCACGTGTGTGTGTATAAAGCACCTAGTAAGCATGTAATGAAAGTTGATCCTCTTCCCTGTTTTTCAGGAGCTGCAGCTGGCTAGTTGGGGTGGGCAGGAGGGTTAGGGATGGGGGTAATGGAGGGCTGGCAATGTTTTAGCAGCTCCTGAGGCCCCAGGTTTCTTCCAATCCCAACAACCTCTTCATCATTTGAGCAATCAGCCTCAGGCCCATTTGGTGTTAATTATGGCAACCCAGCCTTCTCTGTGTGAAGGAAACAGTTCCTCATTTCTCTCATTAAAGTAAAATATGACCCAGTTTTATGCCTGCGTATTTTGTTGCGGAGATTACGAGAATCATCCTTTCTGTTTATATGGAACGAAGAAACGTTACACCAGGAGGGCGGCCTGGGCCCCTGAGCCTGGGGAATAGAAAGCAGATGTTGTCCTCACTGTTATTTTTCCTCCTAGCCCTGCTCCCACCCTTCTCCTATCATCTCTTCTCCCTCTAAGAAACATAATCCTCATTTCAGATCAACACAAGGTAAGAGGATTGTAGGAGAATAAACTCACATTTACTGAGCTCTGTACCAGGTGCCAAGTCCTATAAACGAGTTCCCAGAAGCTTCAGGGCTAGTTGGTATTAATCCTTTTTAAAAATTGTATATATTTAAGGTGTACAACATGATGTTTGGATATACATATACATAATGAAGTGATTACTACAGTCAAACAAATTAACATATCCATCACCTCACACAGTTGGCTCTCTTTTATGTACTCTCATTGTTAGCAAGTTTCCAATATACAATACAATATTATTAGTTATAGTCCTCCCGCTGTAGTTTAGGTCTTTAGACTGATTTGTCCTATAGAATTGCAACTGTATATACCCTTTGACCTATTAATCTTTTCTCACTCTCAGTTCCCTCAAACCAAGAACGCCCAAAGTCTTTCTGTTGTCTTGAGATGTGGGACAAAAACTAACCATGCTAGTCATAGATGCAATTACAAACCTTTGTGCGCTGCTTTGTGGGGTACACAGACTTTCACACATATTGTTCTAGTGGATCTTCCCCCCAGATAAAGTGACTGGGGGTTGCAAGAACTCAGGAATTTGTACAACTGAATTACTAAGTAATGGATACTTTGAAAGATTTTAAGCAGGGAATTGACAATGTAAGATGTGTGCTTTTGAAGGATTGCTCTGGTAAGAGTCTGGAAATGGGTAGGAAGAAAGTGACAGTGAAAGAGATATTTAAAAAAAAAAATCGTCCCAAACATGGAAATAAGGCAAAGAGTTCTGCATGTGTTCTCATTGTCATACCAGAGCATTGTCTAACAGGTATGCTTGATGGATATTTAATTCTCTATGGCAGGGGTTGACAAACTTTTAGTGCAAAGGACCAGATAGTAAATATTTTAGTCTTGTGGTCCATATGGTCTCTGCTGTAGTTGGTCAAAAATACCATTGTAGCATGAAAACAGCCAAAGACAATATGTAAATGAATGAGCATGAATGGTGTAAATAAAACTTTATTTACAAAAACAAAAGGTGGCTGCCAACTTCTACTCTACAGGAATGTACTTTTGTTTGACATATTGTTTACTATTGATTAGAACCCAGCTTTGCTAAATTACATGCTGGTTTGTAAATTTTTTTTCTAATGGAGTTGCAAATAATCTCAGCCTATTAAAAAAATTCTAAAGGCTATGGTTTTATTGTTGTGAAGGACATTAACCAGTTTTATATCTAACAAGAAATCTTATTCCAACGTTCTTTCTGCAGTGCTTATATAATATAAATACTCAGCCCTTTGCATATGCTACAAGCTAGATTTACCATCTGGCTGGTTCCCTCATTAATGCATTAAATAAATCTTTAACACATGTTCACTTTATATTTGTATGACAGTTATGTTTTATTTTAACTCTCTGAAAGTTTTACTGTATTTTAACAGTAGAGAGTTTCAGGATAAGATTGTTGGAGTAGTCCAGAGAAGATTCAGAGGTGATATAGATGGAGACTCTGAGATATTTTCAAGATGTTTAAAAGATATAATTGATAGGACTTGATCATTGATGATATGGAGGACTGAAGAAGAGGATAGAGAATGAATGATTCCCAAATATAGCTTGATATGATGACTAATAAATGGCATTGCTACTCATCGAGCCAGGGAATACTGTTACAGAATATTCCCTAATCCTTCAAAAGTTTATGGCAATGTCAGTTATCTGCAGAATAACTAAGGTTCTTCCAGGTGTGTGCCTTCTCAATCAGTCCAGAGGTCCTAAGATCTGATCACATTGGACCATATTACTGTTAATAAGAACTGTTCCTTGTTTAACACTGTGCCTCTTTTTCCCATGCATTTTCTTGTGTTATCCTAACCCCATCTAGGGATACTATCTGAGTTTCCTTAACTCTATTTTGGTGAGAAAGTTTAACCACTTAGATGAGACTACATAATACAGAAGACCAGAACCTAGAACCTGGTCCTCCTGAATCCTGGTCTAGTGATGTTTCAATGGAAATTTGGAAAAAAATCTGTGATGGCTTACTAGGCTGTGAACTCTCTGAGGTCAGGGACCATGTCTGGTTTTGTTTGCTATTATAGCCCTGGCGTGTAGTAGATGCTCATCAAATGTTTGAATGAACAAATCAATGAATGAACTCGGTCATTGAAGAAAAGCATTATTTCGAGAGTCAAGGAGTCTGGGTCTGCAACTGACCTTGTTAAGAAAATCCCTTCCTTTCTCAAGACCTCATTTTCCCCCACTACAAAATGAGATGGATTGGACTAGGCAATACTGGGTCTTCCTTCTAAGTCTAAACACCTATAAATTAGGAGAGCAGCCCAGGACCCATCATGTCAAGTGAATTTTGAGGGAAATAATTTTGCTTTTGTGTTCTGAGGGAGAGGGAGGGGGCTATATTTTCAAGGTCAGATGTCTAGGTGTCTGAGACTGAGTTAGCGCTTCTAGGGCCAAAGCTTATGGAGTCTCTTGGATCAGAGAAGAATGAGGGTCTTTCCTGCTGCTTAAAATAGATAATGATTATTTCTAGAACTAGTGAGAACCCTAGATTGGAAGATAACATTTGTTGTTACCACAGCATTTCATGGCATTTCCAGCAGTTCCTGAAAGGAGAAAGAGGTATCAGCGAGAGCCCACTCAGTCCAGCCTTGTTCTGGGCACTGGGGCTAGGGCTGATCGTGGTGCTTGCAGACATGTTGCGGAGTGGGCAGAATCCTGGGTGGAGAGTCAGTAGACCTAACATTTTATCTCAACTCTGCCACATAGTAGCTCTGTGACATGGTCAAGTCTCTGCCTCCTGAACCTTAATTTCCTGTCTGTAGAATACAAGGTAAGGGTTCCACAGGAAGACCTCAACATCAATCTGGCTGCTGGGAGGAAGCAGGTTCTAGCTTAGATGGTTTGAGAGAGGTTAATGAAGGACCTAATCATGCGGGATGTGGGCAGGGTTAAGGGAACCAACATGAGATGTTGAGGTGCCCAGAGGCTACCAAGAGTGGGAAGCCATTACTACCCAAGCCTGAACAGTGAGGGAGGAGACTAGCTTTCTGGGACCCCACCCAGAACGGGAGGAAGGGCCACCCACAGGAGGTGTAGTCAGGGAGGGTCTTAGCCTCTTCCGGAAATGTATACCAAGGCAGGGAGGGAGCCAGAGGAATACCCTGGCCTCTTTCTCTTCTGCCCCGATTTCCTGCAGGCACCTCTGAGTCGTGCAGCATGAGGGTCACCCTCAGCAGCACAAAGCAGGAAAGAGAGAGTGGAGAATGGATCTGGGAGGGGGTGGAACAATGGCAAAGAACCAGCCCAGCCTCTAAAACCCCTTGTCATCTGACCATTGTGTCATCCTGTGAAACTGTCAGCCTCCCTTCCTTAACCAATCCCTCTTTTCCAGCCACATCACAGGACGGTCTGTTTGGGGAGCTATACAATTAATAACATCTCTGCCTAGATTTCTCTAGATATTCTTTGGAAAATCAAGGGGTAAATGATGATGCCTCCAGAGGCCAATTCAGGCTTATGTGTCCCAATGTGTGTCTTTAAAAAAAAAAACTTTTATTTCAGGTCCAGGGATACATGTGAAGTTTTGTTATATAGGTAACATGTCATGGAGGTTTGTTGTACAGATTATTTCATCACTCAGGTATTAAGCTTAGTACCTGATAGTTAATTTTGCTACTCCTCTCCCTCCTCCCACCCTTCACCCTCAAGTAGACTCCAGTGTCTGTTGCTCCTTTCTTTGTGTTCATGTGTTCTCATCATTTAGCTCCCGCTTATAAGTGAGAACATGTGGTATTTGGTTTTCTATTCCTGTGTTAGGATAATAGATGCTAAGGATAATGGCCTCCAGCTTTATCCATGTTCCTGCAAAAGACATAGTCACATTCTTTTTATGGCTGCATAGTATTCTATGGTATATATGCACCACATTTGTTAAATCTAATCTGTCATTGATGGGCATTTAGGCTGATTCCATGTCTTTGCTATTGTGAAGAGTGCTGCAGTGAACATTTGCATGCATGTGTCTTTGTGGCAGAGTGATTTATATTCTTCTGGGTATATACCCAATTATGGGCTTGCTAGGTTGAATGGTAGTTCTGTTTTTAGCTCTTTGAGGAATCACCATACTGCTTTTCACAATGGTTGAACTAATTTACACTCCCATCAACAGTGTATGTTTCTTTTTGTCTGCAACCTCACCAACATCTGTTATTTTTAGACTTTTTAATAAATAGCATGTATTAGTTTGTTCTCACATTGCTATAAAGAACTACCCGAGACTGGGTAATTTATAAAGAAAAGAGGTTTGGTTGGCTCATGGTTCCACAGGCTGTATGGGAAGCATGGCTGGGAGGCCTCAGGAAACTTATGATCATGGCAGAAAGTGAAGGGGAAGCAGGCACATATTCACATGGCTAGCAGGAGACAGAGAGTAAAGGGGGACGTGCTACACACTTTTAAACAACCAGATCTCATGAGAACTCACTCACTATCACAAGAATGACAAGGGGGAAATCCACCCCCATGATCCAATCACCTGCCACCAGGTCCCTCCTCCAACAATGAGATCATAATTCAACATGAGATTTGGGTGGGGACACAGAGCCCAACAATATCATCGTATCTACAAGGAACTTAAATTTATAAGAGAAAAACAACCCCATCAAAAACTGGGCAAAGGACATGAACAGGCATTTTTCAAAAGAAGACATACATATAACCAACAAGTATATGAAGAAAATCTCAATATTACTGATCATGAGAGAAATGCAAATCAAAACCACAATGAGATAACACCTCACACCAGTCAGAATGGCTACTATTCAAAAGACAATGTGTGTTTTATTGTCTGTTTTTTCTCTAGACTTAACTCAGTGAAGTCAGGCATGGTGTCTGTGTGGAAACTGTAATTCCTAGTACAGGGCCTGGCTCAAGGCAGGCTCTCAATAACTATTTGTTGAATGGATGAATAAATGAATGAGTGGTCATATTCTTTATGATCCATTTCCTGTCTCTGGCCTGTGACAGCATAAACCGCTCCCTCCTCTGTGCTGCATCTACACCCTGTTTGTATATCGTACTTTCCTTGTAGTGCTGCATCGTAATGGCTGTGACTGTGAGCTCCTTAAGGGTAGGAAACTTATTTCAGGCAACCCAGTTTCCCCAGCATGATGAGGCCTGGCAGAGATCAAGTGCTCATTATATGTTCCTTGAATTGACTCTGAAGATATGTATTCAGCTAGTCTGGGCTCTGTAGAGGAGCTGTGAGCTCCATCCCTTACTCTAGTTAATCTTCCCCTTCCTTTCCCTCTTCTCTGCCTGCTCACCCCCAGGCACATCCTCACTGGCTTGTTGTAAATTTCATTTCTTGCATCTTGATAGGTTAGTTCTTGGAAACCTGACTGGAGCATTCAAATAAATCATTTCCTGGAATTTTGAGTTGCCTCTGCCTATGATAGGACTAGCTTTTAAGGGAATACAGTAAGAAGGTTCACTTAGTACAGCTTATGTAAAAAGGAGTTAAAAAGAGGATAGCACTGGTTATTGATACCCCTTTTCAAGTCAAGCTGTATGGTTGGAGGGTGATTACCCTGGTGTGTGCTGAGTACCATGCTCCATACCAGGGGCTGGAGGCACAGAGGGGAAGACAGATGTCCTAACCCTCATGGGGCTTACATTTGAAAGGAGGAAGATATTACACTATATTATAAATGTTTTTCCATCAATTCTTGGAATTTACCAATTTGTCCTATAGACACAACTGCACATCTACAACATAATAGGTGTACAATCTGCGTTTTCATCAGTGGGAAAAGAATAAGAAAAGAATAAGGAAACTTTCCATATCCTGACATGGAAGGATCTCCAATGTAGAGTATGAAGCGACCAGAGCAAGGAGAAAAATGAGAATGTACAGTTGACTCTTGAGCAAAACAAGTTTAAATTGCATGACGCTGCTTATACCCCTGAGACAGTAAGACCAACCCCTTTTTTCTCCCCCTCCCTCAGCCTATGCAAAGTGAAGATGATAAGGATGAAGACCTTTATGATAATCCACTTCCACTTAATGAATTGTAAATATATTTTCTCTTCCTTGTGATTTTCTTAATAACATTTTGTGTTCTCTAGCTTACTATATCATAAGACTAAGGTATATAATACATATACAAAATATGTGTTAATCAACTGTTATTGGTAAGACTTGCCGTCAACAGTAGGCTATCAGTAGTTAGGTTTTGGGAGAATCAAAAGCTATATGCAGAGTTTTGACTGTGAGAGGGGCTGGTGCTCCTAACCTCTGAGTGGTTCAAAGGTCAACCATAGTCTTCTCTTTTCATGTTAGAAAGAAAGAAGGAAAGTCAGAATACATGTTTTTGTTTGCCTGAAGTGAGTCTAGAAGGATACACAAGAAATTAATAAAAGTGATTACTTGTGTGGGTGAGGAGAGGCAGGTTGGATAGAGCCAGATGTTCATAGTTTTACCATTTTATATTTCACTTTTTGAAATGTGGAAAAATTACTTGGTTACCTTTGACGTGATGTAATAGTGAAAGCATAGGTTGCCCATAGGAGGAGCACATAACCTAGTCTGAAGTTAATGGGGAAAGCTTCCTGGAGGAGGTGACATTTAATCTGAGGTCTAAGATGAGTTGGAGTTGGCCAGAAATGGGGAGTGGAGAAGTTCCCTTCAGGCAGTGAGAACAGCCTTCTGAAGACTTTAAAGTGAAAGAGTGTGGGGAATTCAAGGAACCTAAAGAAGTCCACTGGGGCTGGGCAGAAATTTTAAGGTTTGGGATTATGGTAGGAAGAGAGGGACTGACATTTATCAAGGACTAACTTTTGATTTTATCAACGGCAGCTGCAGCCTGCACATGCCATGGGTTTCCTATGTACCAGGCACCTTACTAAGCCTGCCACATGCAATCTCTTATCCATTCCTCACATGAGCTAGGCACTTATCATTTCCATTTTCCAGACAGAAGCAGGAGCTCTGAGAGTTTCAAGAACTTCCTAGGTCAAGCAAGTGGCAGATGGCAAGCCAGGCCATCTGCTCTGCACAGTCATCTGTGCAATGAGGATACCGACCTTGTAGATGAGATGAGATGCATGGGAAGCACCTAACCCAGGGACGGACACATTATAGGGATGTGGCCAATCTCATCTACCACTAATTGGTGGTTCCCCAAGTCTGGGAAGATTGCTTGAACTATCCCATAAGCCTGCTGGAAAGCGTTGAATCTGAAAGAAAATAAAACTCAGCAACTGCAATTCCTTACTAAGAGATCAAAAACAATGATTCTAAAGAAAGGGGTTGGCGGGAGGCAGAGGTTGCGGTGAGCCGAGATCGTGCCACTGCACTCCAGCCTGGGCAACAGAGGGAGACTCTGCCTCAAAAAAAAAAAAAAAAAAGAAAAGAAAAAAAGAAAAAAGAAAGAGGTTGAGGGAATGGTATTAAATCCAGATCTTCTAAATGTAAGATTCCCAAACCCCTCTTCTTTTGTGGCCCAGGAAGTTCATTTAATGAAGGTGAGGCTGAGCAGAGTGGCGCTGAGCACCAGCTCCCTGCTAGGCACTCTGCAGGCCAATGCCACCTACATGGTCTCAATTACTCCTCACCAGGACTGGAGTTATCCCCATTTTACAGACAATGAAACTGAAGCTAAAGAAAGTTAATCGGTTTGCTCCAGTTCATAAAGGTAGGAAGTGTTGAACCAGGACTTGAACCCTGGTTTCTGATGGATGACAGAGCTTTTGGCATTCTAACATATACTCAGATGATCAGGAGATGATTAGAAGAGAGCTATGATTCAGCCTAAATCTATGGCTTGGTGAGCACACAGATGAGGGGCCAAGCCATTTTTAGAAAGATGACAAGGTGACCCTTGATGGGAGTCCTAAAGAACATGAAGCTGTTGGCCAGGTGGAAATGAGAAGAAATGGTGCTCCAGGAAGAGGGGCCAGCACAGTCAAAGCTTGGGGGCACAGGACCTGTGGCTCCTGTAGAAAGTCTGTGCTCTAGGGTGGCAGTGGGAGGGGTGTGAGAGGTGGAAGGAGAGAGGAAGGGCAGGCTCTTGATAACTGGACCTGATTTAAAACATGCCCAAAATGTTATCTTGTCCCTGAGCAAGTCCATTTTCTCCCTCTATAAATGAAGAGAGAGAAACCACTGAAAGCATTTTCCATTTTAACCAGGTTCACAATGAAAGGACACAGATGGCTCGTGGCTCAGGGAGGATCGTGTATCAGGTCTGGAAGGTCTCCAAAGAGGGGTCTTTCAGGAGGCTGCAAAGCACTACCAGCGTGCTCCCTGCTTCTGTCTCATCCCCCTGCCCCATTTGCTTTCTCATTTGTTCTGTGTCCAATCGCTGTCCCCACACCTCATCAATCTCCCTGGCTCACTGAGAAAGGCCAATCTCCCTCCTGCGGAGACCCCCAGTGCCTGGTGCTGACATCAGAGAGCTGGACTCTGTTTGTCCTCATAATCTGGGGACAGATAACGGCCATTAACGCCTTGCTTAATTACGAACACCCAAAGCAGGCCTACTAGTCATAGACCAGCAGAGCTGGGAGGAGACACATGGCAATCCAGGCTCCATCTTATTTTATTTCTTTTATTTAAATGAATTAATATGTGAAAGCTCTTGGAACAGTGCCCAGCACATAGCAAGTGTTTTGAAAATGTTTGCTATTATTGTTATCAGTGCTGTCACATTTATAGATGGAGAAGTAGAGGCCCAGCGAGGATTGGGGGCTTGCCCAGTTACACAGCAAGTGACAGGCTGCAGTGGGACTGAGTCCAGGCCAGGACTATTTCCAAGGTCTCTTGCTGCCCTGAGAGGGCTCCCCAGACTTCCTTTACACCCAGCAACTGACATTTTGAGCCCCCATCTAGGGTCAGTTCTAAGAAAATGCGAGCAGGAGGCTTCTTATTTGAAGGAATGAATGACAAAGTCAATCCTTCTTCATAAAACAATCTCTGATTTGATCTCATCCCCAAGTAGCACTGTACTATAGATATCTCCATTTTCTGGATGAAAAAACTGAGTATGTACATACTGTGCCTAGAGGCCTGGTTTTAGAAGATGCTCAATACATTTAAACTTCCCATGGGTGGGCATGCACCTCTGATTAGTGGAGATGTCACGTTGAAATTTATCCCCCACCTAACGTTAGTCTTTCTCCCTTCCCACACTGAGAAATGAGAAATGATGACCAGGAGAGTGAGAGAACCCCCAGCTGGGTGGGGCCCATACAGGGTCAAAGTTGGAGGATGGACAGGATGATGGGTGGTCAGCTGTTGGGTCAGATGAGAGTGCCTTGGGTGGGGGGAGGGCACCCATTTGTCTTGTCCTTGGACATTTACAGTGAACTCATCTCTGCTCCTGCCCCTATGAAGTGTCTGTACTATCTGCTGCTGAGAAGAATGTTCAAATAGAATCCAGGCATGCTGACTAAGAGGATTTCTGTACCAGTCTGAGAAAGGTGGGTTGGGGCCTGGGTCATCAGGACATCTTCAGCCAGGAGACATGAGGCAGAGAGGTGAAAATCAATCAGGAAGACACTTGCTTAGGGAATGGCTGCCACAACCTGTGGTGCTAGGCCCAGGGTCGTTTCTGAGATTTGCTGATTTTAGGGGAAGTAAAAGGCAGTCAGTGCTATTTTACCAAGGGGAAGCAGCTCACAAAAGGGCGTAACATAGTGTACTGGTTAAGGACCCTGTTTCTGCAGCCAGGGTTCAAATCCCAGCCCCCCCACTAACTCTGTGATCCCCAGCAAGTTACTTCATCTTTTTAGTGCTTTAGTTGCCTCATGTGTAAAATAGGGGAATGAATGTTGCTGTTCCTTGCCTCCTAGAGTTGATGTGAGCATTTGGATTTGGCATACATAGAGCACTCAGAACAGTGCCTGCACACAGTAAGCCCTATATAAATGTTGCAGTTGCAGTTATGATTGCTGTTATTTAATACCTGCTATGCATCAGATCCTCTGCAGGCATCAGTCTTCTATTACATCCTCAGAGCTGGCTCTCTCATGATGAATAAGTGAGCGGAGCTGACATGTGAACCCTGACTATTTAGCTCCAAAGATGGGGCTTCGCTTGGGCCAGGCTGACTCCAAAATTCTTTCAGTCCCCATCTGAAATCTCTCTCGCCCTTGAAATGTCCCCTACTTTTGTCTGTTGGATGAGACCACGGGGTAAGTAATGAGATTACGTTATGGGCATCCGGTGTGCTATGACAAAGCACAGTCATCCGACTTATTTCCGAGGACAGCATTTGTTGTATGCTACATGGCCTCAGGCACACAACTGTGGGGTTAGGGTTCCTGATTTACTTCCTGTCTTGTTTTTGGCAGCCTTGTAGTTGTAGGCAGGTCACACCACCTCTGTGAGCCTCCTTTTCCTCCTCCTCTGTCTTCACAGCATTTTGGCTGGATGGGCAGATCATGAAGGGCCTTTGACAATGAGGAGACCTGCTCATAGATGGAGTTTTGCAAAGATTGGAAGAGGCAGCCTCTGCCATTGCCATTCTTGTAGCTGTTTGTATAATAAAAAAACAGAAAAAAAAGCCAAACAACATTATCAAAGAAGATGTATTTAAAGTGAAGTGATTATCATCCCTTCTTCCAATCCTAATGGCTCATACCTGGGACTGTACATGTCATGGGTTTTGGAGCCTACATCAACCCTCTGATGAGGTGCTCTGTGGGCAAGGTCACAGGTTCCAGCCCTGCTGCCACCTCTGGCCAAGTGTAGACTGAGTTCCTGGGGGAGGGCCACATCTCTATTGCTCAGAGTGCCTGACACAGCCCTGCTTGAGATTCTGTCTGAAAGAAAGAGGCAAATGGTCCTTCCCTTCTCCTGGATGCCTGCATCTCCTAGCTCCCCGGCTTTTCCCAACAGCTGGCTGGCAGGCCCTCCCAGTGTCCCTTGCTTGTTCTATGCCTGCCTCAGGCTCAGGATAAAGGCCACACACATGTCTGTAGAACAGTCATTCTCTCCTCTGTGCGCTCTCAGCTTTTCTACCTAAACAGGCCCAGAGCTCCAGAGGCCTTGAGCACCAGAAGCCTAGGCCTCTGGGAATAGCATTATGTCCTAGGCGTAAATGGATGAGAGAGCCCAGTGACCTAAGCAGCTCCAACCCTGAGACTGGATCTAATGATGATCCAGATAATCCAGTGCCCAGCTTAGAGCCTGGCACACAACAAGTGCTTATAATGAAAGCATTAGTGAGTAAAAGAGTGATCCCTGGCTTTGAACTCCCTCTAAGTGTACCCCCAGGCATCTGTTCTTCCCTCAGTCACAATGCTGACCCCACTTCATGACTGGTCTCCTCTCCTTTGATTGTGCACACAAGGGCCAGTCTTGTGTCTTATTTTAGTATCTTTAGCACCTAGAATAGTATCTGGCACATAGTACATAAATGTTTAGGCGTGAACAGATGGCTGGGTTCTACATTCTATCATTCACTCATGACTGCGAACTGGAAGAGCAAAATTATGGAGCCTATGACTGTGATTTCAACCTGAGTCATGCTCCTCCCTTCTGTGCGTGCTCTAGGAAGCATGAAGAGAATATTATTGGAAAAGCAGGTTGGGAGTCATTTGCAGACCTGTCAGCAGCATCGGCTGCAGATACAGCTTACAGAAGACGGGCCAGATCTTCAGAAGACAGAACAAAAACACATGGGCCTGGAATAAAAATTGTTTTCTTGTTCAACTTACTGCTTGCCCAGAATTGGTTCATCTCTTAAGTAGCTGTTAAGGTCCCTCCTCACTGGAAGAGAAACGTATTAGTAGGGGCCCATTCAAGGTTAAGTGGAGCAAAATGTTTTCTAAAGATTTCCTCATTTTACAGAAGAGGACATTAAGTGTCAGGGTTAAGTAAATTGCTCAAGGCCACCCAACTAATCAGTAATTGTATTTCTAGCTACAGTATATTGAGCACTTACTATGCGTTAGCCACTAATATAAGTGCTTTTCATCCATTACCATATTTAATCTTGGGTAAAATAACTTTATGGATTGGGTTTTATTATCCCCATTTGACCGAGGTAGAAACTGAGGCTCAGAGAGATGAAGTAACTTGCCCCATGCTACCTCATTAGATACTGGCAGAACTGCGACCCGTGTCTAAATCTGGCAGACTTGGGAGCCAGCAGAATGTATACTTTGGGCTCTCCTCTGACACTTTAAAAACATGCGCATGCCAGAGCCCCACCCCAGGCCGGCTGAATCAGAACCTCTGTATTCTAAAAAACTCCCCAAGTGACTCCAATGTGCCTTCCTGCTTGAGAACATTAGCATAAACTACTTACCCCTCTGAGCCCCAGGTTTTTTTATCTGAAAAATGGGGGCCACAGGGATCCGGAGATCTTTGCAAGATCCAAAGGTGTGCATGTGTGTGAAAGGGCCCAGCACAGTGTCCAGTTGCAGGGGTGCTCAGTAATTGCTGACTTCCTTGTCGCAGCAACCAAGGAGTGCCTGGGGTGCTTTGGGTCTCCTGTGTCTGCACATGACCCCACTTTGCCAAAGACCCAGAACACTGTTTTCTGGGCTTTGGAGTTCAGTTTCCTGATTGTTTGTTATTATTCTTAATAGAATTCAGGAGAAGGCCATGAGTGGGCCAGACATCTGTGATAAATCTGCTGGGGTTTTTACAGGAAAGACTTCCCAAGTTCACTGTATTCTATATTTCTTGCTTTTCTTTCCAGCTATAACATAGCCAGGAAAATATCTTGCTTGAACTGAAAGAAAACAGCCCATTAGCCTCTGGTGAAAGTCGATTTAGGGAAAATGAGTGTCATATTACATAGCAGAGTGCTAGGACATTTGAAGCCCTCTTTCTAAAACACTCATCTGAAAGGGAAAGGTGTTTTTATTACAAACCTTCCACGTTCCAGGACCTCCCTCATGGAGATATGAGGAGTATTATCATCTGTGTTATAGAGGAGAAAAGTGAGGCTTAGAAAGGTGACATTGCATGACCAAGGCCCTCACATCTAGTTTGCCTGGCTTTTGAAGCCTAAAGCCTTTTTTGTGCCACAACTGTCCGCTTGGGTCTTCTAATTTCCTCCATTATTTTCCAATAACTTTAATTTCATGATAAAAGCAAACAAATTTTAAAAGATTGTTCCAAAATACCAGCAATCTTTCAAAACATAACATTCTTGCTAGGCTCAGAGTCCTTAGCACCTAGTAACCCTGATGCTAGTAGATGCGTGATAAATGATTGATGATTGAATGTAGAAATGAGTGAAGCCACAGCTTACCTACCAGGGCATTCCTTTCTTTCTCAACACTCACCTGGGATTGTGCCCATTTTTGTTCAACTTCAGACCTTCTCCCATTGCACTAGGGTCTGTTTCCTTGGGGACTTTTTTGCATTGTGGGTAACTCTGCATTCCGGGGCTTATCCATCTTGTGCTTGGCTTGCCCTTGGAATACACAAACTCCTTGGTTCTCCTTCTGATATGGAGTGAGTCCTTGTCCTCTCTGGATTTCTATTCCATCATGATAAGTCATTATCAAATATATTACAGTTTTATTTTTAATATGTCAAGTAATAATAATGGTAATAATAGATAAAATTTGTAGGGCTTCCTCTGTCCAAGTGCTCTGTTGAGCACTTCACATATTGAATAGTGTGCCCCAAAAAGTTGAAATTCAAACTCCTGATAACTACGAATATGACCGTATTTGGGTCACATTCATAGGGCCTTTGCAGGTATAATTAAGTTAAGGATCTTGAGATGAGATCATCCTAGATTTAGAGTGGACCCTAAATCCAATGACTAGTGCTCTTAGAAAGGACAGAGAGATTTAACACAGAGAAGATGTGAAGATGGAGGCAGAGATTGGAGTGATGAACCTGCAAACCAACGAATGCCAAGGGTTGCTGGCAACACGAGAAGCTGGGAGAGAGAGATGGGATGCATTCTCTCCAGACCCTCCAGAAGGAACCAACCTTGCCAACAACTTGATTTTGAACCTTTGCCTCCAGAACAGTGAGAGACTAAATTTCTGTTTTTTTTTTTTTTATTATTATACTTTAAGTTTTAGGGTATATGTGTGCAACGTGCAGGTTAGTTACATATGTATACATGTGCCATGTTGGTGTGCTGCACCCATTAACTGGTCATTTAGCATTAGGTATATCTCCTAATGCTATACCTCCCCACTCCCCCCACCCCACAACAGACCCCGGTGTGTGATGTTCCCCTTCCTGTGTCCATGTGTTCTCATTGTTCAATTCCCACCTATGAGTGAGAACATGCGGTGTTTGGTTTTTCGTCCTTGCGATAGTTTGCTGAGAATGATGGTTTCCAGCTTCATCCATGTCCCTACAAAGGACATGAACTCATCATTTTTGATGGCTGTGTAGTATTCCATGGTGTATATGCGCCACATTTTCTTAATCCAGTCTATCATTGTTGGACATTTGGGTTGGTTCCAAGTCTCTGCTATTGTGAATAGTGCCACAATAAACATACCTGTGCATGTGTCTTTATAGCAGCATGATTTATAATCCTTTGGGTATATACCCAGTAGTGGGATGGCTGGGTCAAATGGTATTTCTAGTTCTAGATCCCTGAGGAATCCCCACACCGACTTCCACAATGGTTGAACTAGTTTACAGTCCCACTAACAGTGTAAAACTGTTCCTATTTCTCCACATCCTCTCCGGCACCTGTTGTTTCCTGACTTTTTAATGATCACCATTCTAACTGGTGTGAGATGGTATCTCATTGTGGTTTTGATTTGCATTTCTCTGATGGCCAGTGATGATGAGCATTTTTTCATGTGTTTTTTGGCCGCATAAATGTCTTCTTTTGAGAAGTGTCTGTTCATATCCTTGGCCCACTTTTTGATGGGGTTGTTTGTTTTTTTCTTGTAAATTTGTTTGAGTTCATTGTAGATTTTGGATATTAGCCCTTTGTCAGATGAGTAGGTTGCAAAAATTTTCTCCCATTCTGTAGGTTGCCTGTTTACTCTGATGGTGGTTTCTTTTGCTGTGCAGAAGCTCTTTAATTAGATCCCATTTGTCAATTTTGGCTGTTGTTGCCATTGCTTTTGGTGTTTTAAACATGAAGTCCTTGCCTATGCCTATGTCCTGAATGGTATTGCCTAGGTTTTCTTCTAGGGTTTTTATGGTTTTAGGTCTAACCTGTAAGTCTTTAATCCACCTTGAATTAATTTTTGTATAAGGTGTAAGGAAGGGATCCAGTTTCAGCTTTCTACATATGGCTAGCCAGTTTTCCCAGCACCATTTATTAAGTAGGGAATCCTTTCCCCATTTCTTCTTTTTGTCAGGTTTGTCAAAGATCGGATGGGTGTAGATGTATGATATTATTTCTGATATTATGTTCGGTTCCATTGGTCTATATCTCTGTTTTGGTCCCAGTACCATGTTATTTTGGTTACTATAGCCTTGTAGTATAGTTTGAAGTTAGGTAGCGTGATGCCTCCAGCTTTTCTTTTGGCTTAGGATTGTCTTGGCAATGCGAGCTCTTTTTTGGTTCCATATGAACTTTAAAATAGCTTTTTCCAATTCTGGGAAGAAAGTCATTGGTAGCATGATGGGGATGGCATTGAATCTATAAATTACCTTGGGCAGTATGGCCACTTTCACGATATTGATTCTTCCTATCCATGAGCATGGAATGGTCTTCCATTTGTTTGTGTCCTCTTTTATTTCGTTGAGCAGTGGTTTATAGTTCTCTTGAAGAGGTCCTTCACTTCCCTTGTAAGTTGGATTCTTGGGTATTTTATTCTCTTTGAAGCAATTGTGAATGGTAGTTCACTCATGATTTGGCTCTCTGTTTGTCTGTTATTGGTGTATAAGAATGCTTGTGATTTTTGTACATTGATTTTGTATCCTGAGACTTTGCTGAAGTTGCTTATCAGCTTAAGGAGATTTTGGGCTGAGACAATGGGGTTTTCTACATATACAATCATGTCATCTGCAAACGGGGACAATTTAACTTCCTGTTTTCCTAATTGAATGCCCTTTATTCCCTTCTCCTGCCTGATTGCCCCGGCCAGAACTTCCAACACTATGTTGAATAGGAGTGGTGAGAGAGGGCATCCCTGTCTTGTGCCAGTTTTCAAAGGGAATGCTTCCAGTTTTTGCCCATTCAGTATGATATTGGCTGTGGCTTTGTCATAGATAGCTCTTATTATTTTGAGATACATCCCATCAATACCTAATTTATTGAGAGTTTTTAGCATGAAGGTTGTTGAATTTTGTCAAAGGCCTTTTCTGCCTCTATTGAGATAATCATGTGGTTTTTGTCTTTGGTTCTGTCTATATGCTGGATTACGTTTATTGATTTCTGTATGTTGAACCAGCCTTGCATCTCAGGGATGAAGCCCACTTGATCATGGTGGATAAGCTTTTTGATGTGTTGCTGGATTCGGTTTGCCAGTATTTTATTGAGGAGTTTTGCATCAGTGTTCATCAAGGATATTGGTCTAAAATTCTCTTTTTTTGTTGTGTCTCTGCCAGGCTTTGGTATCAGGATGATGCTGGCTGCATAAAATGATTTAGGGAGGATTCCCTCTTTTTCTATTGATTGGAATAGTTTCAGAAGGAATGGTACCAGCTCCTCCTTGTACCTCTGGTGGAATTCGGCTGTGAATCCATCTGGTCCTGGACTTTTTTTGGTTGGTAAGCTATTAATTATTGCCTCAATTTCAGAGCCTGTTATTGGTCTATTCAGAGATTCAACTTCTTCCTGGTTTAGTCTTGGGAGAGTGTATGTGTCGAGGAATGTATCCATTTCTTCTAGATTTTCTAGTTTATTTGCGTAGAGGTGTTTATAGTATTCTCTGATGGTAGTTTGTATTTCTGTGGGATCGGTGGTGATAATCCCCTTTGTCATTTTTTATTGCATCTATTTGATTCTTCTCGCTTTTCTTCTTTATTAGTCTTGCTAGCGGTCTATCAATTTTGTTGATCTTTTCAAAAAATGAGCTCCTGGATTCATTGATTTTTTGAAGGGCTTTTTGTGTCTCTATTTCCTTCAGTTCTGCTCTGATCTTAGTTATTTCTTGCCTTCTGCTAGCTTTTGAATGTGTTTGCTCTTGCTTCTCTAGTTCTTTTAATTGTGATGTTAGGGTGTCAATTTTAGATCTTTCCTGCTTTCTCTTGTGGGCATTTAGTGCTATAAATTTCCCTCTACACACTGCTTTGAATGTGTCCCAGAGATTCTGGTATTTTGTGTCTTTGTTCTCGTTGGTTTCAAAGAACATCTTTATTTCTGCCTTCATTTCGTTATGTACCCAGTAGTCATTCAGGAACAGGTTGTTCAGTTTCCATGTAGTTGAGTGGTTTTGCGTGAGTTTCTTAATCCTGAGTTCTAGTTTGATTGCACTGTGGTCTGAGAGACAGTTTGTTATAATTTCTGTTCTTTTACATTTGCTGAGGAGAGCTTTACTTCCAACTATGTGGTCAATTTTGGAATAGGTGTGGTGTGGTGCTGAAAAGAATGTATATTCTGTTGATTTGGGGTGGAGAGTTCTATAGATGTCTATTAGGTCCTCTTGGTGCAGAGCTGAGTTCAGTTCCTGGATATCCTTTTTAAATTTCTGTCGTGTTGATCCGTCTAATGTTGACTTTGGGGTGTTAAGGTCTCCCATTATTATTGTGTGGGAGTCTAAGTCCCTTTGTAGGTCACTAAGGACTTGTTTATGAATCTGGGTGCTCCTGTATTGGGTGCATATATATTTAGGATAGGTAGTTCTTCTTGTTGAATTGATCCCTTTACCATTATGTAATGGCCTTCTTTGTCTCTTTTGATCTTTGTTGGTTTAAAGTCTGTTTTATCCGAGACTAGGATTGCAACCCCTGCCTTTTTTTGTTTTCCATTTGCTTGGTAGATCTTCCTCCATCCCTTTATTTTGAGCCTATGTGTGTCTGTGCACGTGAGATGGGTGTCCTGAATACAGCACACTGATGGGTCTTGACTCTTTATCCAATTTGCCAGTTTGTGTCTTTTAATTGGAGCATTTAGCCCATTTGCATTTAAGGTTAGTATTGTTATGTGTGAATTTGATCCTGTCATTATGATGTTAGCTGGTTATTTTGCTCGTTAGTTGATGCAGTTTCTTCCTAGCCTTGATGGTCTTTACAACTTGGCATGTTTTTGCAGTGGCTAGTACTGGTTGTTCCTTTCCATGTTTAGTGCTTCCTTCAGGAGCTCTTTTAGGGCAGGCCTGGTGGTGACAAAATCTCTCAGCATTTGCTTGTCTGTAAAGCATTTTATTTCTCCTTCACTTATGAAGCTTAGTTTGGCTGGATATGAAATTCTGGGCTGAAAATTCTTTTCTTTAAGAATGTTGAACATTGGCCCGACTGTCTTCTGGCTTGCAGAGTTTCTGCCGAGAGATCAGCTGTTAGTCTGATGGGCTTCCTTTTGTGGGTAACCCGACCTTTCTCTCTGGCTGCCCTTAACATTTTTTCCTTCATTTCAACTTTGGTGAATCTAACAGTTATGTGTCTTGGAGTTGCCCTTCTCGAGGAGTATCTTTGTGGCGTTCTCTGTATTTCCTGAATTTGAATGTTGGCCTGCCTTGCTAGATTGGGGAAGTTCTCCTGGATAATATCCTGCAGAGTGTTTTCCAACTTGGTTCCATTCTCCCCGTCACTTTCAGGTACACCAATTAGACGTAGATTTGGTCTTTTCACATAGTCCCATATTTCTTGGAGGCTTTGTTCACTTCTTTTTATTCTTTTTTCTCTAAACTTCTCTTCACACTTCATTTCATTCATTTCGTCTTCCATTGCTGATACCCTTCCTTCTAGTTGATTGCAGCAGTTACTGAGGCTTGTGTATTCGTCATGTAGTTCTTGTGCCGTGGTTTTCAGCTCCATCAGGTCCTTTAAGGACTTCTCTGCATTGGTTATTCTAGTTATCCATTCATCTAATTTTTTTTCAAAGTTTTTAACTTCTTTGCCATTGGTTCGAACTTCCTCCTTTAGCTTGGAGTAGTTTGATCTTCTGAAGTCTTCCTCTCTCAAGTACTCAAAGTCATTCTCCGTCCAGCTTTGTTCCATTGCTGGTGAGGAGCTGCGTTCCTTTGGAGGAGGAGAGGCACTCTGATTTTTAGAATTTCCAGTTTTTCTGCTCTGTTTTTTCCCCATCTTTGTGGTTTTATCTACCTTTGGTCTTTGATGATGGTGAGGTACAGATGGGTTTCTGGTGTGGATGTCCTTTCTGTTTGTTAGTTTTCCTTCTAACAGTGAGGACCCTCAGCTGCAGGTCTGTTAGAGTTTACTGGAGGTCCACTCCAGACCCTGTTTGCCTGGGTATCAGCAGCAGTGGCTGCAAAACAGTGGATATTGGTGAACCACGAATGCTGCTGTCTGATCGTTCCTCTGGAAGTTTTGTCTCAGAGGAGTATCCGGCCGTGTGAGGTGTCAGTCCGCCCCTACTGGGGGATGCCTCCCAGTTAGGCTACGCGGGGCTCAGGGACCAACTTGAGGAGGCAGTCTGCCCGTTCTCAGATCTCAAGCTGCATGCTGGGAGAACCACTACTCTCTTCAAAGCTGTCAGACAGGGACATTTAAGTCTGCACAGGTTATTGCTGTCTTTTGTTTGTCTGTGCCCTGCCCCCAGAAGTGGAGCCTACAGAGGTAGGCAGGCCTCCTTGAGCTGTGGTGGGCTCCACCTAGTTTGAGCTTCCCAGCCGCTTTGTTTACCTACTCAAGCCTGAGCAATGGTGGGCACCCCTCTCCCAGCCTCGCTGCCACCTTGCAGTTTGATCTCAGACTGCTGTGCTAGCAAAGAGCGAGGCTCCGTGGGCATAGGACCCTCCGAGCCAGGTATGGGATATAATCTCCTGGTGTGCCGTTTGTGAAGCCCATTGGAAAAGCGCAGTATTAGGGTGGGAGTGACCCGATTTTCCAGGTGCTGTCTGTCACTCCTTTCTTTGACTAGGAAAGGGAATTCCCTGACCCCTTGCGCTTCCCGGGTGAGGCGATGCCTCGCCCTGCTTCAGCTCATGCACAGTGCACTGCACCCACTGGTCTGCACCCACTGTCTGGCACTCGCCAGTGAGATGAACCTGGTACCTCAGTTGGAAATGCAGAAATCACCTGTCTTCTGCATCACTCATGCTGGGAGCTGTAGACTGGAGCTGTTCCTATTCGGCCATCTTGGCTCCACCCACCATTTCTGTTGTTTTAAGTCAGCTAGTTTTTGGTAATTTGCTATGGCAGTGTTTATTTCCCAGGAAATGCACACACCTATAATCCAGGAGTTGCTTTTAATTCTAAGATAAGAAAACTGAGGCTGGGAAAAGGTTTATGACTTTGTCCAAGGTCACAAAATTAGCAAATGCTATGGACTGGATTCTAACCCAGTTCCAGGGCTGGCTTCGTAAACATACAACATGTGCAGCTGTACAGGGTCCTGAACTGAGAATGGCCTCTGATTGACTTGATCTGCTGTTGCCTTCTGGAAATGTTAAATCTTTTTTTTAACAAGGGGCCTGCATTTTTATTTTGCACTGGGCCTCACAATTATGTAGCTTGTTCTGACCAGGTGTCTCTGCTCTCCAAACCTCTGCTTTTTCCTTCATCATCTGCTGTACAAAAGCCCATACATATCCTTGATCTCCATCCATCCCCACAGCCACAGACTTCTAACCAGTCTCTCCATGAGACAGACTGAAAAATGGGCCCCTAAAGATGATCATGTCCTAACCCCCAAAACCTGTGAATATGTGACCTGACATGGTTTGCAGCTGTGATTAAGGGGTCTTGAGAGGGGAAGATCATGCTGGATGATCTGGAGGGCCAGATGGAATCACAACAGTCCTTATAAGAGGGATACAGGAAGAATTAGAGTCAGAGGAGTTGGTGATAGAACGAAAGAAGCAGGGATGGGACCGATATGCTTTGCAGATGAAGGAAGGAACTCCCAACCAAGAAATACATGTAGCTACAGGAGCTGAGAAATGTATGGAAGTAGATTCACCCCTCAGAGCCTTTGGAGGGAACCAGCCCTGCTGACACCTTGACTTCAGCCCAGTGAAACTGAGTTTGGACTTCTGACCTCCAGAATTGTGAAAGAACAAATCTGTGTTTTAAGCCACTAACTTTGTGATAATTTGTTATAGCGGCAACAGGAAACTAATACACTACTTCCCTCTTACTCTTACCATAGCCTTACGAGGACCCCCTCTTACTCTTACCTTTCAATCTGTGGAAGAAAAAGAAATCATCCTGGCAGTATTGGAGAAGATAAATAGAACTTTAGTTTAACAGAAAAAACATTCACATAACCTTTATGTATAATTGTAAAAAAAAGTCATAGGTTTTCAAAGGCAAGATTTTTTTTTGCAATGTTCATTTATTATGCAGGGGAAAAGACTAGCATTTATATGTACATAATAAAAATAATCAACGTGGCATAATAATGACTAGTTTAGAAACCCAAAGAACATTTTAAAAGTGTATCTTTTGAAAAGCTCTCTATACTTCTGTTTTAATCTTTCCTTATTCTGGAATGAAACATGGTTTTGACATTTGTGTTATTTAATAATTAGATTTCTGCCTAATACTAAAGTGTTAAACATGAAAAGATCATTTTAAACATAAATTTAATCTAGATTTCTTTTAGGAAAAAAATGAAAGAAAAGCAATCATCAAAAATTCTACAACACCAAACTAAAATAAAAATCAAAACAGAAACCAAAGTCCACTTTCCTTCACTGGGCATTCCAGGTTACACGTCACTTAGCCTTTGTTCGATATCCCTCCCACATCTGCCACCAGCCCACCACACTACTCCATGCAAAGAAGTGCAGCTGAAAAAGCATAAATTTCAGATGAAACTCTGTTCCAACACTTCCTGCCTGTGTAAGTTTGGGCAAGTCACTTAATTTGTCTGGGTCATGTCATGTCCATTTCAGAACTGAGGAAATTAATCCCCAAGGCCATGTCATTGAGGAAATGAAGTGTGCCTGGCATGATGCTCTATACCCTGCAGATGTTGGAGATGATGCTGTCACATAGTAATTGCTGTCCCCTCTTCCTTCAGGTAGCAGTAAACATGTTTGAGATTCACTGCCCAGGGGGCATGATTGTTAGGGGAGGAACAGTAATTTTTAAGAGTTCATTTTAGGATTTTTGAAGTAGGTGTTTGAAGCTCCCAGCAGTAAGCAGTTGTCCAAAAGACAAGAGTTCAGACTGCCTCAGGCCATGAAGTTTATGCCTTAAACAGCTGAGGACCCAGAGGTGATGCATGTTTTTATGCATAAAAAGAGCTCAATCCTTTCTGAGCTGGCAGAAAGATGGAAAAGTTGTTATAGCAGCAATAGGAATCGAAGTGAGTCTCTGGTACAAGTGTCACCTCTTCCCCTTGTGGGTATGAGGCAAAGGGTGAAGGAATCCTTAGATAGACTCAACTCTGGCACCCAAAAAAGAGGGAGCCTCTGCCTAATATCTGGCTCATTGTTCCAGTATGCAGTGAGTCCCACAAGGTTCTTATCCCACTTTGCCTGGATGAATGGATCAAAAGTGGCCATAGGGGATGAATAATAGGATATTTGCTCAGCTTCTTTAACTGAGCAAATAACAGTGGGTTGAATGTGATAGAAAGCTTATTTCACTGCGCATATACCCCAAAAGTTAAAACATAATAATAGTAATAATTTAAAAAAAAGTTTAGACTGGCAGGTGGTCCAGGGAGGAAGGGCAGCTCTGTACCACAAATTGTCTGGGGCCCTCGTTCTTCTTTTCTTGTTATTCCACTGCCCTTTAGCGTGTTGGTTTAGTCATCTTAGCTTCAATTAGCCCTCATCTACCTCATCTGCATTTCAGTGAGCTGGAAGGGAAAGAGGAAAAAGGAGGCAAGCTGCTTCCTCTTCAGGGCATGACCTGATGTTTGATACATTGCTTCTTCTCACATCTTGCTAGACAGAGTTTTGTCACATGGTTATCTCTCACTGTAAGAAAGGTTTAGAAATGGAATCTCTAGTTTCCTGGCCATCAGAGCAGCTATAACTTATAGCTATGGGACTATAAGAAACAGGAATCAAGATAGAATGGATATTGGGGACAATCAGTAACCATGATACAGAGACCTCCATAGAAGGGCAAGTATTTCCCTGTTATATCAGTCAGGGTTTGATCAAGGAAGTAGACCATTGTGAGTATTACGGAGTAGGGGGTTTATTATAGATATAAGACCACATATGATTGTGGGAGAAGCTGTGGAAATAAGAGTCTGAATGGGGCAGTGGAAGGATCAGAGAAAATCTCTACCCACCCCTTTTGAGATTTGTGAAGGTAGACAAGTGAGGAGAATGAGAGCATGCTAGAATCTGTAGCATGTCTGCAACTGTCACTCATCTCTCCTAAATACAACAGCCGTAAGAGAGCAGTGGTGCTGCTTTACTTTTTCTAAATCTTGCATTAAGTCTTTTGACCAACTCCAACCTGAAATTGTACAGGAAGTGAATTTAGGGAAATATGGTCCTAGCTTAGCCAAGTAGACACAGTTACAAACTACTACATCCATGTTGCAGAGAGTGGTAGACATTGAGATGGGACAGATCTGGGAGCCACAAGGCTGGGTGAGGAGACACCAGCAGCAGGCTCTGCATGGGCTGCTCAGATAACACTGCAATGGATGCTGCTGCTGAGGATGAGATGAGAGACACAGATGTTCTTCCCCATCCCCGTCCCTCTCCCCAGTGCATTGCTACCATACATCAGCCTTTCCATTCCAACACTCCTATCCCCATCAGAACTAAGGTGCAATCTTGGGATGGAGGAAGCCCTGGCATGATGAGAAAAAAAAAAAAATCCCAAATTGATTACATTAGGATTTCTGTCCTCAGGCGGAATATGCTCTTAGAAGACAAAACAGGGCACTTTCTAGAAAAACAACTTACATTTCTTATACACTTACATAGGTATGTAAGGTACACTTACTTACATAGTAGAGAATGGGTAATCAGCAAATCTTATCTGCCTTCTCCCTTTTTTGCTGGGTCCAGCCAAATAGAAGAACACCATTAGTCCCTCAGTGGACCAGGCTTTTGTGTGCTTCCTTCTTTCATGAACCCCTTTCACTTTTGTCAGCTTGATTTTGTTTTAAGCAACCCCATGGTGCATTTCTCCTCCTTGACTCAGCTCAAATGAACACCTTTTCTGTTATTCCTTCTTGACCTTTGCCTCAGCATCTCATGGACAGCGATACTCCCTGCCCTGCCTCCTTAAGGCCCCAAGGATTTTGGTCAGGGACCAGACTTGTTGACGGATAGATTGGATTGACTTTTCTCCAAATTATGAGCGAATCAGATGATTATCCTATTTGAAGAGAACCCTGCTCTCCAATTGTGTAAATATAAATTATACACACACAGAGTTGTCTACTATTATTTAATTGTGTTGATAAAAATATAAACCATCTAAAACTGTGTGGAACAGGGATCTTTGGGTCTTCAAGTTCACTGTGAGTTTTGTTTTTCATTGGCGGATGCTCTCTCCAGGCCCTTTCCTCTTGCCTGTATTGCAAAGAAACATCTCTTACTTTAGGCTATTGCTATATGTATGGTTCCCAGTGGCTGCTGTGACAAAAAACCATAAACTGGGTGACTGAAAACAATATAAATATGCTTTCTCACAGTTCCAAAGGCTAGATGTCCAAAATCAAGGTGTCACAGGTCCATGTTCCCTCTGAAAACTCTAAGAAGGATCCTTCCTGCCTTCTTCCTAGCTTCTGGTGCTCTAGGCAATACTTAGCGTTCCCTGGCTTTTGGACACATTACTCCAATCCCTCCCTCCTTTGTTACATGGCATTTTCATTGTGCCTCTCCTCTGTGTCATCACATGGCTTTTTATAAAGATGTCATTTATTGAATTTAGGACTCACCCTAATCCAGTATGACCTAACCTCAACTTGATTACATCTGCAAAGACTCCATTTCAAATAAGGTTACATTTTCAAGTACTGGGGATTTGGACCACGACATACCTATTTGGGGGCATAATTTAACCCACAGCTGATGCCATGACTTATATTCTTCGTACCTAGAGGCAGATGTATTTTAAGCTTGGATAGTCCCAAAGATACCTGACACTAGTCAGCCATGGCGTCAGTCCCAGCTGGAGCCCTGCCACAACAGGGCAGAAGTCTGGCCTCATGTCCTTTGGCGGATGCAGTAGGCAATAGGGCAGGGTGTAGGTCACTGACTCCGAAGCTCCCTCATGGCCTCATGCACGAAAGCACACAATCCTGGATGTGCTACAGCAGGAAGTACCAAGGCCGGAGTGGAGCACTGACTCTCTCATTAGTATGCCATAGGACCCGCACAAGCCACTTCTCTGAGCATCCGGTCATTACTTTATTGTTTTGTATGAATGAAAGAGCAGACACTTACTGGGCATTTGCTATGTGCCAGAGCAGGGGCTGGGGCCTGGGATACAGAAATCATTAAAATTCCACCCTCAATGAACCTAGCATTCATAGGGGATAAATCACTCTCTTGTGAGGTCTGAAGCAGATCAAAGCTCTCTATGATTCATAACATGCTGTACACGTGTCAGCAGCAAAGATAACTCACAGGGTTCAGGCCAGGAAGGCCTTTGTGACAACCCCACGGTTCCTCCATTAGGTCTTTGACACCTGTAAACACGGCAGCCTGAAATTCAGAGGAGGACATTCACTTTTTATTCACTTATATATTAATTTGAGTATCGATCCTGTTCCAGGCACACGGCTAGGTTCTGAAGATGCAACAGTGAACAGAGCAGGCACTGGCCCTGACCCAGGCGACTTCCAGTCTACAGTAGACACAGACATTCAATAAGTGACAAGTTCTAACTTTCCCAGAAACTCTTGCTTTGGCCTTAAAGATCGCATAAATTTTTTCAAAGTTTTCAACATTGCATCTCAATGGATTCCAGACATAAACCCAGTCCTCTGACTTTCATTCAAGATCCTTTCCACCTTATCAAACTGGTCCTTTAGGAGACAAGGGCAGGGCCTGCCACTGCTCAGAGAAGGAGTGTTGTGCATCTCCCATGAAGTCCTACCTGGGAAGGTGCATGCTAAGGATTAAAGTATTGGCATGAGGAAGGAGTTCTATTATTAGGGGGGCATATGGATATATGCAGATGCCTGTGACTACGTGTGTGTGTGTGTGTGTGTGTGTGTGTGAAGAGAGAGAGAGAGACAGAGGGAAAGAGAGAGAGAGAGAAAGCAGAACATGCACACAAGCTGTCATGTGGGTTCCTAACTCCAGACCTTGCCTTTCCTAAAAGTTTTAGGTTGAATCTTGGTTGGGTTTAGCATTGCATTCATCTCTTTTCTGTTGGGGTTCCTCTTCCGTAAGATGCACAAGATGTTTGCCCACTACAAGGGACAGGAAGTCACTCTTACCTAGAATAAAACTTTACATTGTTGGAAAATACTCTTCCCTCCTCTCCCCTTTCCACATTCATCCTCTGAGCAACAGCCTTGGGGTTGAATTAGAAAAGAAAAAGAAGGCAGGTTTCCTGTCCTTAAGGAGCTCACTCATGTTTGAGGGTCTTAGAGAAGTAGACTGATAATGACAGTGCAATGTGGTGGGTGCTAAGTTTGGGCACAGCAGTACCCTGTGCTTATCTTCAAGGCAGCAGCTGACTTAGAGCACTCACAGAGGCCATCACTGAGGAGGTGACCCTGGGCTAAGTTTTGAAAGATGCATAGGTGTTAGCAAAATAGAGGAGAAGGAAATTCCAGGGACAGGACACAGTGGATGCAAAGGTACGGAGCCAGAAAATAGTAAGACATGTCCCACCCACCCGCAACCTCGGAGGGAATGGAGGGGGCGAATCAGGGCAGCCCCCCTCCTCCCCTCCTCTCCAAGCATTGTGGAAAAGTTGTTCATTGATTAGTAAGATGCCAAGACGGAGATAAACGATTGAATACTATTGCAGGGATCACTGTGTATTAAAGGGTCACTTTTAGAGCAGGAGGGAAGCCAGGGCCCAGCCTGCAGCAGGGAGACCCAGCCTTTCCCTCTTTCCCGTCACACATGTGTTCCAGTACGTTCATCTCTGGTCTCTTGGCCCATAGGGCTGCCTGGCTGATGCTATGATCCCAAGATTTGAATTTAGGCTTAAGGGCTTATGAAAAAGCTCCAGAAAACTCCACTTAGAGGTTTTGGGTACAAGTCCAGCTATTAATACAGTCTTTGATTTTTCATGTGTAAGGGTGCCTGAGCAATCCTGGATCCCTGGTCTAATAAAACCCAAGCTGTAGCCCACAATTGTTCCTAACACCCTCTTTCCTGATGCGCTGGCATCCAGCTTTCTTTCTTCACTTTCCTCTTTTTCAGAGGGACCACCAGGCTCAAGCCAATCTCCTGTTGCCTTTTTTTCTTTGTCTACTTACCCCACTGTGTCCTGTGTTTTATGTGTGTCCAGATCATCCTAAAGCCTGGAGGGAGGCTCACATCATTTTCGCCTTTGGATTCTCCATAGCCTTGAGTACATCCAGGGTAAATGTGTAATAAACCATGGATTCAACTTTTCCTGGCTGTGAAAGGAGAAATTAACATTAGTGTTGTTTGTTGTGGGTTTTATCTAATGTGGTTTGTTCATTCACACCTCCAACAACTCTTCACTGGGGGCCAGGAAAGAAGTGATCCTAAGTACTTGTCCTTATGGCTTACAGTCTCACTGAATCCTCCTCACTATCCTTATGGTTTGTTTTTATTAACCCAAAGTTAACCAAACAGGAAGCAGAGCGACTGAACAGAGAAGGCCACCATGTTTGCAGGTGAGGCTTCTGGGACTTGAACCCAGGTTTGTAAGTCATGGGGGCAGGTGTCCTGGGGAATGGCCATCTCTGTGGTACTTTCTGGCTGGGCTCCCTTGGCTGCGTTGCCAGCACAGCCAATGCACATCACTTGTCTGTTGCTGTAACTGCAGCCACCCACTTCCTCCCCACTGTGGCAGCATTTCTAGAACCTGGCAAGGGACAGCTGTGGACCCAAGCCAGGCCCATTACAAGAGTGTTTTTTCTCCTCTCTAAAGTGGCCTATCCTGAAATGTGTGATGCTGTCTCTACATGGCCATAATTTGAAGTTCCCTCCCTTTTAATAATCCTTTTAAAGAAAAATCACAGCAACACCCACATGATTTGTGATTACCAGAGTAAAAACCACTTTTTTTTTCCCATCATCCTGGCATCTGGAGATGAGCAAAGCAGAGGAACAGAGTGTTACGTGCTGTCTCCAAACACCTTGTCCCAGGCAGGCGTTCCCTCCAGCACAGCCAGCCCAGCAGTTGGGAGGCTGCTGCCCTGGTCCCCACTCTGCCATGGAAAGAACTTGTGCCAATTGCTTCATTCTCACACTGATTTTCCCAATAAACACACACTGCACCCCTCAGTGCCACACCTGTGCTGGGTGCTAACTGAGCAGAGACACAGAGAAGTGACCTCGTCTCCAAAGATGTCCCCAGCTGATGGCCTAATGGGAAAGGCAAATCTCCCTGCCAGAGCTGGATGAGTGCATAGATTCTCACCAGGCGAAGAAAGGAAAGGCATTTCAGGCAGATGTCACAGCAAAGGCAAGGAGTGGAGGCTGGAAGAACAGCTGAGTCCAGGGTAGGTGAGGAGTGCAGTGTTTGTGGAGGGAATATTTACTTGGAGGGAATGTGGCTGGAAAGGTAGGCCAGAGCCACCTAGGGAGGGCTCCAATGAAGACAAGGAGTTGGCTTTATCCTTTATAAGCTGGGAAGACACTGAGATATTATAGACGCAGCAGATGATTCTTGCTGCACCCAGGACTGGGGTGGGCTGTGGGGGGGAATGTGTTGAGTCTTCAAAAACATGGGTATAGACAGGCATTAGGGCAGATAGTAAAATGTTTTTTCTTTCTTTCTCTGCTTCTTTTTCTCTCTCTCCCTTGCTCCCATTCTTTTTGTTTTAATAAAAAATATTTAATCTATTTATACTCAAAGCTAAGAAATATGTTGCACTGATCTATGCCCAGGTAACCGGGATGCAGAGGAAATATTATTAAGGAATTAGAAACACATGATTTACAATCTCAGCCTTCCCACTTCAAAATTAACACCTTCTATGATTTGGGCACTGCGTTCAGCATTTTTACCAACATCGCCTCTAATCCTCACAGCCTTGCAGAGTAGATTAAAATAACAACAGCCACAACAAGAACAGCAGCACATACACAAATACCATTTTTTTACTGAGTAATTATGTTCTAAGCACTATGAGAAGAACTGTAAAGACAACAACCTTGTTGAAGCAGGTTGTGTTATCATCCCTGTTGTGCAGATGAAGAGACTGAGGCTGAAAGAGCACAGAAAACTTGCCCAGGCCATTGTGTGGAAGAGCTTGTCTGACTCCAACCCCACACCTGTCCACACTACCATCCTGCCGCTTATCACCCAGCCCCCTTCTCTCCAGACACGGGGTTGATGGCCCTTACCCTGCTGCTGTACATAGGTGGTGTGAAGGTTAAGTGAAGAATTATTTTGCAAATTGCAAACAACATACCAGTACGTATCTGTGGAGTGTGATTATTATCAATAAAAATTATTGATTCCAGATAGAAAAATAATTTTAATAAATGAATGCCTCAGCCTCCCTGAAGTTGGCTTTATTTTTATAAAATATAAATCCTTAGATTTATTTGTGTTGTTTATTAGATGCCTAAGCCACAGATTGCTTCATACTCTAGTAACATTGAAAAGCAAAAACAATTAGGAAATGAGTCAATAACTTAGCAGCTGATTTTTAAAGAAACTTTTATTTTGTTGATCAAAGATTTCTTTTATAGTGGGTTGATTCTAGTACAGGCAAGCATTGGTAGGTCCAGATAGTTTTGAGGATATTAATTTCATTTTGGAAAATGGCTCAGACCGCACCCACATATCCAGGTGTTTCCAGGACTACGTGAAACCCAACAGGAGACCTTTTGTCTCCCTTCTTCAGAGCATTTTACAAAGCATATTTATCATCTCTGGAATGGTGGTGTATGGAGCCAGGCTGGGCGGCCAACAGGAGGAAAGGGTGGGTGGGAGGCACGCTTTGTTCCAGAATAGAGTGCCTTTCCTGGATGTCAGGAGGGTGGAAAAATGGCCCCTTCTAATAAACACAGATGGCCTGGGTGCATCCCTGAGTTTTTACTTTAAAAGGATAAAAAGTGAGCCGTACCTTCAATTGGAGACACATGGGAAGCCTGTTGGGCTCAAAGAGCTGGCTGCCCTGGGAGACAGGAGAGGCTGCCTTCCCGGGGCTCTCATCTTCATCATCCCTTCTCATCATCTTTTCCACACCTCTCTGCAGCCCTACCACCAATTCCCTGCCCTGAACCAGGCCCAAGATACCTCAGTTTCTCCCCGCTTTTACCCTCTCTGCTCTGTGTCTGTCATCGAATTACTTCATAGACCTCTGTGAGCCTTGGTTTCTTTCTGTGAAGCACTATAAAGCAGCAGTCCTGCAGGGAAGATCTGGGAGGTCAGTGAGATACTTTGTTCTGTGTAAGGTACTAGTCAGCACCCACCTTGGAAGTGCTGGGGAAAGCTTGGGACTTACAGCTTCTGCTCTTCACCTCCTAAGTCAATTGCATGGAGACAGGTGTTTCATACCACCTGACCCCTGAGTCTGTCTCTTCCTCTCTTTTCTATAATTGCACAAATCCCTAGGGCATTCTTTGTTTCATTTTATCCTCACATCAACCATGCTGGGAAGATCACTGTACTATTTACCTATTGCTATGTAGCAAATTACCCTAAGATGGAATGGTTTAGAAGAACAAGCATATATTACAATGGAAAGGACTTGGGATGATAATGATGTGTCAGTGTAAGTTCATTCATTTCTGAGAGTAGAGAGGTTGGGAGGGGCTTAGTTGGTTGGTTCTGGATCCGTATCTCTCATGAGGCTGCAGTCAAGCAGTTGGCTGGGGCTGCAGGCATTGAGGACTGGGTTGTCAATTTCCAAGCTCAAACTCACTCAAAGGGCTGGGGTTGGAGCAACTGGCAGGAGAGTTTTGCTACTGCCAAATGGGCCTCATCATAGTGCTGCTTATGACATAGCTGCTGGCTTCCCCCAGATACAGTGAAGAAAGAGAGCCACCAGAAGGAATGCTAGCCACACTATCTTTTATCACCTAATCTTGGAAGTGCTATAGCATCACTTCTGCCATATTCTGTTGGTCACACAGGCAACCCTGGTACTGCATGGCAGGGGACTCCACAAACTGTGGATACCAGGAGGTGGGGATTGTGGTGGCTGTCTTGGGGGGTGGCTACCATGGCCACCCAGAAAGTGAATGGCAGTACTAGCTGATCGCCTGTTTGTGCCCTGGACAGTAGGCCTGCCAGTCACTGATGTGTGGGAATGAAAAGATGCAATGCCTGGCAATGTGCCCAATAGGTATTTGATGAAGAAATAAAAGATTGGTTTTTCTAAAATAGTTCTGATTGGTTTTTTTGCTACTAAAACCATCAGCATTGTCTGATGGATTAAGTACAAATTTCTGACCCAGACATTTATAATCTTTCTGAATGTGGCCCTAGTCTCCAATTTCAGTTTCCAAACTCAAGTCTATGCTCATGTCACAGTTTCTGCCTGGGCTGCCCTTAAAGTTTTGAAATACAGCTCCTCTTCAAGGTCAAGCTAACTAACCCCACCTTCTTTGGTGTCCACGTCTCCTGTCTCCTTGCCCTTAGTAGCAGCCTCCCTGGTTCCTGATGGTGGTGCGCTTGCTCACTCAGGCATTCTATTGACCTTTGAAGTTGGTGCTCAACAACTTTGGCCAGAAAGGAAGTTTTCTGCAGAGACTGGCAATGTGTTTCTGACTATGTCTTACATATGTTTTTTTCCAATATAGCTTTTCTTGTACCTCCAGAGGACAGGCACATTTTTAATTTAAACACACCCCTAAAGGACTTGGCATACAGAAGTGACTGCCCATCTCTTGCAGGAAGTTCAGTCTCAAATTCCTTTCCTCCTACCATTTCATGAGTGACATGCCAGGCGGAATTTATTCAGATGAGGTCTTCCTACACTGGTAGAATGAATATTTTTGATTCCCTAAGTGAATTATTCATATAAACTTCAGAGTTGGAAAGTTTCTATACAGAGTCAGTGGGGAAGTATTTGTCTAAGATATCTACCCTACCTAGCCATTAATAAAATGTCCTACATTTAGATGCCACATATTTTATAGGAGTCACATATTTTATAACATCAAGATAGAAGCAAATAGATCCTTATAACAGAAAAGTTTTACAAGTTTTAAAATCAGAAAGTTCTAGATATCGAATTCCAACTGCAATACTTTCTAGCTGACCACTTTTGGTCAAACCACTCATTGCCATTTCACCAAAGATAAAACTGAGGTTTGGAGAAAGATGACTGTCAGCATATAACCTACATATAGTAGGAACACAATATTAATGTATATAAATGCATATATGTAACTTGATTGCCTCTGGGCTTCAGTTTCCTCTTTTATAAAATAGGAATTATAAAACGGGAATTAGATGTGGCATATATTACATATATGTACCACTTTAAAAGCTAAGCCTCAGTGTCTTAATCTGTACAATGGGGATTATTATCTCTACTCTCTCCATCTCATTTGATCCCCACAGTTGTGTGAGGTAAAGCAAGTGAAGCTTCTTTGTGGGGCACTTTCCTTTGTGATAATGCCCTTCATTAGTAGCCTGTAATCATGGTGTAGGGAAAGAGCACAGGCTCTGTGTTCTGGAAGTCCTGGATTCAAATCCTAGCTATTGAGCTTACTAATCATAGGGGAAATTAGCTAATTCCGGAATGTCTTTGATCCTTGGTTTCCTCCTCTGTAAATGGAATCCTGTCTGGAAGAGTACCCGGAACATGGCAGCACCTTTTCATTCACCGCTTTGTGCCACTTAGGTGTTGGTGTTTTTCCCGGTAATTGAGAGAATGGATGAGACGTATGAGTGAGTTTTCCCTATGGGACAGCATAGCAGTTTCTCATCCTACAGTTTCCAATTCGTGAATGGCTTTACTTTAACAAAATGACAGATAATGAGAGGGAAAGTAGTGTTTGAATGCTTAGACGCCTGTTCTCTCCAATGTCGCAATGTTGTCAAGAACTATCTTTATTCCCTGATTGTCCTGGAGAAGAGAAACATAAAAGCCTTATTCATAGTTTTAATTCTCATTCCAGAGAGGAACAGTGGGTTCTTTCTCCAGTTGTTCTGTCCTTACTGGGGAGGAGCCCAGGGACATATTTCACAGCTAAGTCAACTGCTTTTCTTCAAATTCAGATTTAATCCTTGAGTGAAATGAGTCACTGGCTCATCCAGTTAAGATCATCACCCACTTTCCTAACAAAACTTCTCTTCAAAGAAGGACTCGCTCATCCATCAGGTATTTATTTAGCACTCACTACATAGTAGATACTGTTTTGGCAGCTTGGAGCAACAGAGCAGGAAATAAGAGAGGCAACTAGAGCAGTGTTGTATGGTGGAAAGAACTCTAGTTCTGGTGCTGAGAAACTTGGCTTCACCTCCTGGTCTCGGAACTTACTTTCTGTGCAGCTCTTTGAATCTGGGGTATAACAGATGCCTGTTTCACAGGATTGTTTTTATTTATTTGTTTATTTATTTAATTTTTTTGAGATCAAGTCTCGCTTTGTCATCCAGCCTCCTGAGTAGCTGGGATTACAAGCATGCGCCAACATGCCACTAATGCCCAGCTAATTTTTGTATTTTTAGTAGAGATAGGGTTTCACCATATTGGCCAGGCTGGTCTCGAACTCTAGACCTCAAGTGATCCACCTGCCTTGGCCTCCCAAAGTGCTGGGATTACAGGCATGAGCCACTGCGCTTGGCCCCATAGGACTGTTTTGAGGCATGTGGTATTCTGGCTAGACATCTGAGGTTCAGACGGACTTCGGATACAATCCCAGCTATGCCACTTAAGATCATGTGGCCTTGGGCAAATCACTTCACTTCTTTGAACCTCAGTTTCTTCATCTACAAAACAGAAATAATAAGGCATCTCTTGGAAGACTGTTGGGATGGTTCAGAGCTAAGAGCAGCAAATGAAAGAGTTTTGTGAAATTCAAGGCAGGGAGAAGATTTTTCCAGGCCAAACTGAAATTCCTTCTGATGTTTCTAGCTTTTCCTGAGGTTCTTTCACACATTTCTTAATTAGACCTGCCTGAAGCAGGCTGCAAGAAGACTAGAATCTTTGTCTTTGTTTCTTCCATTACTCTTTGAAACAGATCCTTGGTGGCTAAAACCCAGAGTGAAAACAAAGTAACTTATCAAGGTAACTTTTCAGCCTGCTTGCCCTTGTCACGGGTCTACCCTGGACAAGGGTGGGCCCTTCTGGCTTTGCTCTGCATGTGAAGTCCTGTGCTTTTATGACCCAGGAGATCACTGTCCCTCCTCTCCAGCTCTTGCTATCAGGTCATTTCAGCAAATGTCTCTCAGGGGCGTTCCCTCTAGATGGGGCCAGAGTTTCCCTTCTTTGGCTCATCCTGCATATGCAAATACATCTACTGAATCCTGGCATTCTAAACTGTGGGTAGTCTGGGCCCAATAGCCTTTTAGGGCAGGGCACTGTGAGTCAATAATGGAAAGTTAGAGTCGCTGGTGTCCTGGATCTAAGTGTCTCCATCCCTCCACCCATTAGAGAGGGCGGAGGCCTCTCTAAGGCTCTGCAAAAATTTTCCATATGGCAGGATATAGAAGCACACTCCAATGGAGCCCAAACCTGCTCTGGAGTTGGCCTGATGGCAGAACTAAGGGCTCGGTGATCCTTCTAGGGCTCTCTTGGCTAGAATTGATACACATGGACCTTTTTTGAGGGGCAATGGAAGGAGGAAGGAATCAATGCATGGCTGAGAGCCGAACAGAGGGTCAAGGATGTTAGGGAGGGTGAAGGGATTGTGTGGCATCTGTGTCCCTGCTGTCTGGAAAGCTGGGACATGATGGGTAGATGGTGGATATTCATAAGGCATGGAAGTGAGAATTGATTCACTGGTGCAAAAGCAGGGGCATTTTTCACCATTAATTTCCAGTTATCACGAGCTTTTATAGCACTGATTTTACAGGGCCACACTGTCAGTTTTTCAAGTCTGATGCCTACTTGGGAGATTATTCCAAGCTTTTCTCTCTGAAAGCCTCAGTTTCCTCATTTGTAAAATGGGAATGACAATAATTCTTGCCTCAGATCCTGGGTGCAGAAGTCAAGTTGGATGTCAACATATGAAACTCTTCAGAAACTCTAAACCCTGGGCAGTTATTGGAAATCTAGAAGGAATGAAACTAGCTTGTGAAAAGCCTAAGGGAAAAAGGGAAAGGGGCAGTTATACCTGTGTCAGATAGGCTCATGAATGGAAAACTTGGCTGCAAGTGGACCTCTTTGTTCAAAACAGAACATTCCTACTTATTAGCTGATTCTTGAAGTGGTCACTTCCACAGGCGTCCACTGTGGTTCTGGTCAGTGGAGGCCTCAGCATGCGAACATTCGCCAGGATGGCAGATTTTGAGCCTGTTGGTGACACCTGGGTCATCACAAACTTAGCGAAACTCTTTCTTCCCATGAAGGGAGATTGATTCCAGAATCTAAGTTTGGGCCAGCAGGTTATTTGAAACTAGCTCTGGGTGTCTTAGAAATACATGGGGAGGAAGAACAAAACGTTTGTCTTCTTTGAGCTTTTGATGGGAAGGCCTTTGAGCCTCTTCCTTTTCTTTTCCTTCCCTGCACCCCCAGGCTCCTTTAGAAAAAAAGGTTTATTGTGAGCTCATAGAATCATAAAATTTTGGACCTGGTTCCTGGTGGGAGGACCTTGGGTTCATTGAATCCAATCCTTCCATGGTACAGCAAAGGAAATGTGGGTCCAGAGTAGGAAGGATGTGTACCTGAGGTAGCACAGCCTTGTCATGTTGGGAGACAACTCGTTTCCTGCTTCTTAGTGAAGATCCTTCAGTCAACTAAGAAGTGGGTCCAAACTCTCCTCTCACCCTTAGGATAACTCTCCAGGCATATAGGATTTCTTGGACCTTCATATTGAGTTTCTTAGGGAGACAGAGCAGTGAGCCATCTGAGGCTTTGTGTTCTCTGCTGCTCCCGTTGTCTGAGTCCTGTGGCCGCTGAGCCCTGCTGCCACTCTTCCCGTCCCAGACTCAGTTACTGCCACCAGGGCTTGGACTGAGGTGAAGCAAGAAAGGAAGCCATCTGCCTGGGCAATTACAGGAACTTGAGAAGAAGGCTTCCTTAAATTTTCACCCTAGGCCCTTCACTTGCCTCACCCTGATGCCAGCCTTGACCTCTTCTGGCATTCCGCAAACGTGTCATGCCCTCTCCCACCTCAGGACTTTTGTGTTTGCTGCTTCTTTTTGGCCTGGAACATTCCATCCCTGAGAGCTGTGTGGCACCCTCACTGCCTTCTGTCTGGGCTCTAAGATCACCTTGGAGGGAACTTCCCTGAGGTGGGGTGGCTGTGTCTTCTGTTTATCCCTCACCCAGTTTTATTTTTCACCCCAGCACTCAACAACTCCTGACACGTTTGTTTACTTCTTGCCTTGACCCTCCATGTGGTATGAATGACGGCCCCTGAAAGTGGCAGAGTGGGGGCAACCCTCAATACATATTGGTTGACTAAAGGATGGAAAGGCTGAGCAGGGGTCACCTGTCTTGCCTCCTCCTTCAAGATGTGACTTTCCATTCCATGGAGTCACTCTGGCTAATTCTTTGGTTTCATTGTCTCCTTAAAAATCTCTCCAAAATATTCAGGCTGAAAGTGCTTTGATGTACCAAGTTTATAGTACACACTCAGACCTTTTTTTAAAAAAATTCACTTTCATCTAACTTTTTGTATTAAAAAATCCTATAATCCCATAACCCACCACCTAGAGGCAGCGTGTTCATTGAGGTTGTTTGCTGTACTTCACATGTGTTTATTAAGACTGCAGTGAAATGGCTGTAAGTGGTAGCTGCTTGTCTGGCAGAGGAAGAGCATCCCTCTGGCCCCATCAGGGATGCTCTGGCACAACAGGTAGGATCTTCATCATTGCCCTCCCCATTCAAAGCCACCATGGCCCCCTTTGCCTGAAGACTGAGGTCTCAGCTCCTCCTCCACAGGGCTCTTGAAGTTCTGCCACACTGGGCTCAACCCCTTCCCAGTGCTCCCTCCCTTTTGCACCCTTAGAAACCTTTGCTCCAGCCAGACTTGTCTCCTCATTATCCTTCCAATATCTGCGTCTGCAGCTTTCTCCCTTAGAAACCTCATTATTTCCACAGCTTCAATTCCCCCACCCCCACCCCATTCTTTGTTTCCAGACCTCAGCTACAGCTCAAATTTCAAATTGCCTGTTGGCATCTCTTTCTGTGAGCCCTGCCAGCAACTCAAACTCAGCATGGCCAGAGCCTGCCTTTATTTTCTCTCCCCAAATTGTCCTCCTCTTTCCTCCCCACATTTCTATTAGGAGTCCCATCATTCTCACTGACACCCAAGTTGGAAATTTCAGAGTCTGATTAGCTTTTCTTTTTCTTTTGCCACCACATCTAGTGAGTCACCACATTCTATCAGTTCATCCTAATGATAGCTGTGGGTATGTTATTAGTCCATTTTCATACTGCTATTAAGAAATACCTGAGACTGGGTAATTTATAAGGAAAAATAAGTTTAATCGACTCAGAGTTCCACATGGCTGGGGAGGCCTGACAATCATGGTGGAAGGTGAAGGAGGAGCAAATGTACGTCTTACATGGTGGCAGGCAAGAGAACATGCATAGTGGAACTGCCCTTTATAAAATCATCAGATCTCTTGAGACTTAATCATTATCACAAGAACAGCAAGGGCAAAACCTGTCCCCGTGTTTCAATTACCTCCCACTGGGCCTCTCTCACAACATGTGGGGATTATGGGAGCTACAGTTCAAGATGAGATTTGGGTGAGAACACAGCCAAACTATATCAGGTATATTGACTAATCACAGACCCACTATGTGTCAAGTAGCATAGTAAGTCCTCACCTAATGTCATCCATAGTTTCTTTTTTTTTCTCTCTCTTTTTTTATTATAAGTTCTAGGGTACATGTGTAGAACGTGCAGTTTTGTTACATAGGTATGCACGTGCCATGGTGGTTTGCTGCACCCATCAACCTGTCACCTACATTAGGTATTTCTCCTAATGTTAACCCTCCCCTAGCCTCTCCACTCCCAAACAGGCCCTGGTGTGTGATGTTCCCTTCCCTATGTCCATGTGTTCTCATTGTTCAGATCCCACTTATAAGAGAACATGTGGTGTTTGGTTTTCTGTTCTTGTGATAGTTTGCTGAGAATGATGGTTTCCAGCTTCATCCATGTCCCTACAAAGGACATGAACTCATCCTTTTTGTGGCTGCATAGGATTCCATGTGACTGTGAAACAAAGTATAAAAACCAATTATTTTTCTTATCAAGATTATAAGGAAAGAAAGGTGAATGTGAGACATTATTCAAGGACCTGCTGTTTTGCTTCAAGTCACAGTTCCTAAGAACCTATTGATAACATTGAGGATTTAGTGTATTGTCCACAATCTCCAAAATGAGGCTGTATGATGCTTAGGGTACAAGTGAAGCTGGGGTAATACAGGGACCCAGGTATTCAGTGGCCTAACTTAAGCAGGTGTTTATTCCTCTCTTCTGTAATAGTCCAGAGGCAATAGTTCAGGGAGAGCAGGACTCTTGTCCTTTTAGGGCAGCTAGGAATCCAGGCTAGTAGGTCAGTCTGTTGTCTGCATTGTGTCTTTCTGAGACCACTCCAGTTGTTTCTATTTTCCAGCCTGCAGAAATAATTAGGCTGGGAAATTAGCAAGTAGCTGAGCCTGTCTTTGGGAGTGACTTGAAAGTCACACACATCACTTCTGCATGTGTCGCCCTGGTCTGAACTTAGTCTCATGACCACATCTAGCTCCAAACAAAGCTGGGAAATGTAGCTTCTAGCTGGCTACAGTTAGAGAACTTAAGTTCTCTAACTCTATAACCCAAGTGCCTTCACCCTGTCACAGGCCCCCCATGACCTAGCCGTTGCCTCTGTTGGTCGCTGCCTCCATGACCTGGTCTCTGCCTCACTCCAGCCTTCTCTCTCTCTCTGTTCCTTCTCTTGCACTGACTTGTTGTGGTTGGCCTGGGTACCTCCAGGCTTGGGCACATACCTGGAATGGTTTGTCTCCACAACCTGCTGGGTAACAGCTGTTTGTACTTCATGACAGCTTGGGTGGTTTCTTCTCCAAGAGGCCTTCCCTGACCTTCTCTTCTCCTCACTAGATTAGGGGATTCTTCCAGGTTCTCAGGTGTTGCATTCCTCTATCATAGTACTTCGAAAATTATTATGTATGAAATACTTGTAAGCTTGGTTTCCCTGCTAGCATACACATTCCATGAAGAAGGTCCACAGCTTTCATCTCAGTGCCTCCAGCACACAGCACAGAATAAGAAAAAACACTAGGGTCCCCTTAAGACTGCAAACACCTTGAGGATTGGCCCATGATAGTTTTATTCATTCTTCCTTTCATTCAATGAACACAGACATAACTCTCATACTCAGCAGATCAGACTCAATGCTTTGGCTGGTTGTAATAGTTTTCTAGAGCTGCTGTAACAAAGAACCACAAACTGGGTGATTTAAACAACAGAAATTCCTTTTCTCATAATTCTGGGGGCTGGAAGTCCAAGATCAAGGTGTAGGCAAGGTTATTTCTTCTGAAGCCTCCCTTATTGGCTTGTAGATGGCTGTCTTCTCCCTGTGTCTTCAGAGAGTCTTCCATCTGTGTGTGTCTGTGTCTTAATCTCCACTTATAAAATCACCAGATTGGATTAAAGCCCATCTAATGACCTCATTTTACCTTAATTACCTCTTTTATTTATTTATTAATTTTTTTTTGAGACGGAGTTTTGCTCTTGTTGCCCAGGCTGGAGTGCAATGGTGCAATCTTGGCTCACTGCAACCTCTGCCTCCTGGGTTCATGCCACTCTCCTGTCTCAGCCTCCCAAGTAGCTGGAATTACAGGCATGCGCCACCACGCCAGGCTGATTTTGTATTTTTAGTAGAGACATGGTTTCTCCATGTTGGTCAGACTGGTCTCAAACTCCCAACCTCAGATGATCTGCCCACCTCGGCCTCCCAAAGTGCTGGGATTACGGGCGTGAGCCACCACGCCCAGCTCCCTTAATTAACCTCTTTAAAGAATGTATCTCCAATATAATCACATTCTAAGGTCCTGGGGGTTAGGTCTTCAACATACAAATTATGGAGGGACACTATCCAGCCATAACACTGGCATAAATTGTGTGGGGCAAAGACGGAAGAACAGAATATGACCAGGAAGGGTAGAGAAATGTTCATGGGGAATGTTTGCAGAAGTCCTCAGGACTATGAGGTCCTCAAGGGAACAACTGTAGCTCATTCCTCTCTGTATTCCTTGTGCCTAAAGCAGAGTGTGGCTTGCAGCAGATGCTCATAAGATAGCCCCAAATAAACAAATAAGCCAATGAATGAAGCAGCATTTGGTCTAATAATGCTGCTATTTGGATGGCATAACTGCTAGCAGGATTATAGCTCTGTTTTTTCGGGCTTTCTTCTTTCCTTCAGGGTCAGAGAGCAAGGCTCCACGTTTCTCATTTGCCTCCAACAATGGCCATCAGGATCAAAACTTTCCAACCCAATTAAACATTTGGGTGGTTGGGACCCACCCAAGGAAAACAAGCATGTGCTCAATCAAATCTTTTATTTGGAAAATGTTTTTCAGCTGAGAGACCTGGGCCCCTTGTCATGCCTGGCTCTTAGATCCTGTTGTTACAAGCCAGAGTGGAAATTTAGGAAAAAAGAACAACTTAGATTTAAGCATGATAATCCCTCAAATCTGTTAAATTCTTTACAGTTTTTACAGAAGGCTTTCACTTAAATGATCTGCTTTGACCCTCCCAACGACTCTGTCAAGAGGGTAACAGAAAGAGAATAAGCATGGAGGGCCAGATTTAAGTTCTAATCCTCACTGTGCTACTTCCTGGTGGTGAGCACTTGGGCAGATTGATTTTCTTAAGATCTGATTTTCTCATTTGTGCAATGGAGACAATAATACCAATGTCTCTGGGTTGCTTTGAAGATGAGTTGATACCAGGTATCAGAAAAAGCCTGGCATGTTCTGGCCACTCAGAAAATAGAGTAAAAGCTTAAACTAAGAATTTGAATCATTGTCTTCCCTCACTTTCCCTTTTCCTTTGTAAAATGAAGAAAACATAGTAAATACTTCATAGAATTGAGGCAATTAAATGAACAACACATGTACATGCTAAGTGCTCAGGAAAAGGTTAGTAGTCACAGTTACTTGTTTCAAACTCATAACTTAAAAAAAAACCTACACACTTAATAGCTTCCTTCTGCCTGTTTCGAACTTCAACCTTCGATTTTGAAAAAAATCTTGTAACTTTCTGTTGTAGGAGAAATAGGCAGATGCATGGAAACCACACCAAACTGGGCATTAAGAGCCTGGGCTTAGGTCTATTTTTTACACTTGCTTGCTGTGAGACCTTAGGTAAGTCACTTATCACTGCAATAAGCAGATTGGACCAGATTAACGCTCCTTATAGCCCCCAAGAATCTATATGGTTAGTCCACAAATCTTTTGCCCAAATCCAGTAAGAAACCTTAGCACCTTAAAGGAAAACTTAATTGAAAATTTTCTGATTTACGTATACTTAACCAAACAAAACCCTACTTTTTAAGAGTCCTTTGATGTTTAAGCTCCCTTAAGGAGTCTTTTTTTGTTTTAAGGGACATTTTAAAGCTTTTCTTCTTAGAAACAGGAAATCAGATTTTGGCATGGGAAAAGAAATTCGAACACACCAAGACTTGGGGGGTGGGAGCAGTTGGTTTGCTTTCAAACAGGATTCTAGAGGGTTCCCAAGATTGGCAAGAGGTGGCCCAGGCCACCCTGACTCAGCCTCCCAAGGGTTTGCCAACTCAAAAGGCGGTGTGGACGTCTGGGGCGGTGGCAAGGGAAGTGAGCCTGAAGCATTTCCTTGGCCTTTTCGGACTTGTTGAATGTTTTCTTTTTGCCCTCAGTCCCATGTCTTACTTCTTAGTCTCTTTTGTGATATTTGGCAATCCAAATTGCCAAATACCTTAAGTGATCTCTAAGGAAAATATTTTTCACTAGATGATTGCTTTTTCCTTCCAGAAAAAGAGAAAGAAAAGAGAAGAAAAACAGACAAATACACAAATACGTGTGGCAGAGTGAGTTCCAGTTACCACTTTGAAAAGCTCTTAAGCATTCTGTCAAGCCAAATGATTTCACAAAGTTTAAGCAGTCATCAAACAGGCAACTGGGGTGGGGGAAGAAGATCCCAGCTCGAACTTCCAGCAGCCAAGTGACTCAAAACAGTCCCCTTCACCCCTCTGAGCTTCAGTTTCTTATTTAGGAGGTGGAGAAATGAGGACTGTTCCACCGGGGTGGCTGATAAGGTCATGTGTGATCAGGGATAGTCTGAGGCCCCAGTAGATGCTCAACGAATGCCCCCTTTCTTGATCTGGATGGGCAGTGCTTTTGTTGACTGACCAGTCTGTCCTTTGTCCTCCTGCAAATGACTGATGTGGATGCTGCAGGCTTAGAGAGGTGGTGTGCCATGGAAGGTGGAATGCTGGGCGGGGGGCCAGATGACCTTGCTGCAGCTGCTGCTTCTTCTCCCTCTCCTTCTCCTTCTTCTCCCTTTTAAATTGTGATGAAAACAAAACCCACATAATAAGCTAACCCTCCTATCAAGTTTTAGGCCTACAGTTCAGTAGTGCTAACTCTATTCACATAATTGTGTAACAGATTTCTAGAACTTTCTATCTCGCAAAACTCAAATTCTGTACCCATTAACAACTCCCATTCCTGTCTCCCCCACCCCCTGGTAACTGCCGTTCTACTTTGTATCGCTATGATTTTGTCTACCCTAGCTATCTCATATAAGTGAAACCACACAGTATTAATCTTTTTGTGACTGATTTATTTTCCTTAGTGTAATATCCTTAAAGTTCACCTGTGTTGTAGCATGTCAGAATTTCATTCCTTTTTAAGGATGAGTAATATTCAATTGTATGTATATTCTACATTTTCTTTATCCATTCATCTGTTGATGGACATTTGGGTTGCTGTCACCTTTTGGCTATTTGTGAATAATGCTGCAATGAACATGGATGTGCAAATATCTCTGGGAGATGCCACTTTCAATTCTTTTGGGTATATACCGAGAAGTAAAATTGCTGGATCATATGGTAGCTCTATTTTTGTTTTTTTGAGGAACCTCTGTACTGTTTTCCAAAGCAGTTACAGCATTTTCCATTCCCACCAGCAATGCACAAGAGTTCTAATTTCTCCACATCCTTACCATCTTCTGTTATTTTCTATTTTATTTATTTTTTGGCAGGGGATAATGGGCATCCTAATGGGTGTGAGGTGATATCTCATTATGGTTTGGATTTGAAGATGGTTTAGCTTCTAATGTACTGTTGTCACCTCTTTCACTTGATGGCCCTGTGACCTTAAGCTCTTTCTAGTATGATGACCAGGATGCAAGCTATGAACAGACAAGCTTCCCAGGTGTATCTGTGTTTTAGGGCTGTACCTAAAACACACTAACAAAGTACCACAAACCGGGTGGCTTAAAACAATAGTTATTTATTGTCACACAGTTCTGTAGGCCAGAAGTCCATGATCAAGCTGTTGGCAGAGTTGGTTCCTTCTGAGGCCCTTGAGGAAGACTCTCTTCCATGCCTCTCCCTTACTTCTGATGGTTTGCTGGCAACCTTCAGGATTTCTTGGCTCATAGATGTGTCACCTTGATCTTTGCCTTCATGTCACATGGTGTCCTCTCTCCGTGTGTGTGTTCACGTATCCAAATTTCCCCTTTCAATAAGGATGCCAGTCATATTGGGCTGGTGGTAGAGGCCTCCTCTAATGACCTCATTTTAACTTGATTCTCTCTGTAAAAAGCCTATTTCCAAATAAGGGCACATTCTGAAGTACTGGGGGTTGGAATTTCAATATGCCATTTTGGGGGATATAATTCAACCCACAACACCAGGCATGTCCTAGCTTGCACCCAGGGGTTATTTGAAACATTGATAAGTGCAAGAGAGAGTGTGATAAGAAACTGGAAGCACAGATGATGAGGACCTCAGCTGGGGAAGTCATATTCCTTCAACTCTTCCTAGAAGCCAGCAAGATAAAAGATATCCCTGAGCCAAACAAATGCTTGTATCTGGGAATAAGAGTAAGGTCCTGAGAAAAATATAAGGGTTGGAGTAGCTGTTATCCTCCCAGTCAGTGCTTTTGGGTGAGTTGGTCTGACTTAGAGGCACAGGTTGGTTTATAGCAGCGGGCTCTTTGTTAGTCGAGATCAGCTTCTCAGGAATGAAATCAGAAGTAAGTGTTGGGGTGTCACAAGTCTATTCTTAGCTTCCACTTACCAGCTAGTGCAGCCTGGAAGGTGGACATGGACTGTGTGTTAGAGAGTTTAGGGCAGGATCAGAAATGCCAAGAACTTGGCTGAAGGCCTGATCTTTATTGGATGCAGAGCCCTTGTGATGGCCTGAGTTGCTCAGTATTGGTTGCTTTCCCAGTGTTTGAAGGACAATCTTGGTCTAGTGTTCATTTGGTCCAATGGTCTATTCCTATGACATCATACTGCCTAATTCCAGTTATGAATATAAGATATGAAGTGGATGCTGTAATGTGCCACCAAGATCCCTCTTCAGGGATAAATGATATTCCAGTGCCTGAAAATGCTTCTGGCCTTCTCTGGAAATCGTCTTGTGCTGGAGGGAGTTGCCTTAACCCAACACCATGCTCCCTTTCTGGGGCAACCTGCATCCAATGACTGCTTAATGCAGAAAGCCCATAACCTTTTCTGGAAAGTGGGTAAATCTGACAGGCCTTTCCAAATCCTGAGCTCCTGGTGGGGTTAGCTGAAACTGCTGTGGAAGCCTTTGCTGCAGCCTGGTTTTTCCCTTTGCCCCATCCTTTGTCCTTCCTTTCTCTCCACAGGTATAGAACTTGAAAGAATGACCTATGAAGTGTCCTACATGCTAATTTCCATCTCAAAGCCCACTTACCAAGGAACCCAAACTGCAACATACTATCTTTCTGAACTTGAAGGTGAACTTTCCAACTCCACAGAGAAAAGTCCTGGAAAAAGAAATGAATGTAACTGGCATATGGTTGTAGTCAGAATATGTTTCTCTCATAAATTAAATAGCGAATGGACAGATCCAAGCTCCAACTTTCAAAGATGCACAAGACTAGAGAACATCTTTTTGGCTTTGATTCAAAATCATGAGCATGTGAAAGGAATAGTATATACAGTGAAAAAAAAACCTATAACTGTATATTTGTTTTAAATATTTTCTTAATCGGGGAAATCGTTTTCACCAAAAGCATGCACACACAGGATTGCCACATCTGACCAGTGTGAAAAGCAGAGCTTCAGATGATGTTTTCTGTCCAGCCTGTGGCCATGCACAAAGAGATGGGTGTTCTTTGGTTCTGATTCTGTGTAAATGCATCCCATCTGGTGTGAACTGTTCAGCACCTGCCAGAACCACTTTCTAAGAAAGGAGGAATTTCAGAGGGGCTTTTGCAAAGTCAGCAAGTAAACCTTTCAGCAGTTTGGAAGATGTTTTGGCAGGGCTGGGGGTGTGGGGCCCTAGTTACTGACTAGAGGTGGGAATGTGATTAGAAAGTTCCTACCTGCAGAGCTGAGCAAATAGACATACACTAATCTTTATTTACATCAAGATGAAATGGTTCTTAAGTGCCTCTTACTTTAAATGCAATGCCAGGACACAGGCCTATGTGCTCCTAGGGTAAGAACACCACTAATATTTCTAGATGTTCATAGGCTGAAGTCAGACCCCATGAAATCACAGATCCCTCAGCTTGATGCCTTAATAGAACCTCAATTTTTGATAATGCCACTCGATGCTCAAAAGCAAAGCCTTCCCTGGCTATACACTGGCTCATGGTGTTCTCTTCAAGCTCTTCCATAACTGAGCCTGGAGGAAGACATTCATGCTGCCCACTAGTATTTCTGTCCTCCTTCTAGGAGCATGGAGTGATTGTCCTTCCATCTCCTTCAAATTAGGCAAGGCTATGTGATTTGATTTGGCCAGTATGAAGTGAATAGAAGTGTCATCGATTATTTCTGAGTGAACATGTTAAAAACTGAAGTCATTCTCCATGGTTCCTCTGGTTGATGTAAGAAGACTTTGATTGGAGTCTTGGTTTTGCTACTTATTAACTGTGTGATTTTAAGTTTCAGAGAGGCTATTAACTTACTCAGTTTTCACCTTTAGAGACCAGAAACAAAATAATATTTTTCATACACAGTGGTTATTTCATTTGCTCCCACCATCCCAATATGTCAACCACATTATAACCCTTACTTTTGCCTGGAGATGCCCTGCATTTTACACAACCAATATTTCCTGAATTCTTTGTTTTAAACATGAGTTTTTGATGAATTACAATACCATAGGACAAATTATTAGGACCCTGTCAGAAAGCAGCCTGGAGTTTATATACATCAAAGAAGCTGATTTTGGCTTGTAAACTGAAAAAAGTAAGCATTCCTGAAAGTCAGAAAGATGAATGGATTAAAAGTATGAAAATAGGAAAATAAATGCCTTAAAACCAAGCTCTCTTACATGTATAGAATGCTAATATTTAATGAAAAGAAAACACTTCAGTGGTTTTTACTTTCAATACGTTAATAGAATGCTTGATTTAGTCATTCATTAAAAAATATTTACCAAGTTACTACCATGTGCCGGGGAGTGCATGAGGCACTGGGGATAAAGCAATGAACATGACAGGGAAGGTCCCTATCTTTAAAGTATTTGTGTTTTAGGAAAGAGAGATAGATAGTAAACAAGTAGGTAACAAATACACATGCTGCTTTCAGGTGATGAAAACTATTATGGAGGAAGTAGACCCTGACTGCCAGAGAGGAATGGTGCCGTCCTACCTACTCGGTCTGGGTCATCAGGAAGACCTCTTGCAGGAGTGATGGGTTTGTTGAGCCCTGAAGTTGAAGACCAGCCAAGGGAATGTCCTGGGGACGAGGGAAAAGCAAGTGAAAGCCTTTGGCGTGGGAAAGGGCTTGGAGGGATGAGAAGGGAGGCCATTGGGACTGAGGCAGCAGAGGAGAGAGGGAGGAGAGAATGTGTAGAATAAGATGAGAGGGTGGGTGGTTGGATGTGGCCCAGAGTATGCAGGACCTTGAGGCTGCAATAAGAGGTTAGAACATGATTCAAATTGCAATGCGATGATGTGAAACCATTGTAGGCTTTCTTTTTTCTGTTTTTAAAAATTGAGGTGTAACTCACACTTAGCAAACTGCATATATTTAAAGAATGTAATTGTATAAGTTTTGACATATGTATACCTACATGAAACCATTTCCACAATCAAGTTCGTGGACATATTCATCACCCTCAAAGCTCTTCTCATGCTACTTTATAACCCCTTCCTTGTAGCCTCCTTTTCTTGACTCCCCACCCATCCTAGGCTGCCACTGATCTGCTTCCTGCCACTATAAATTTGTTTAATATTTTAAAAACTTTTAAAATTGGTAATAGTTTACATATTTTTGATGTACACATGCTATCTTGATACCTCTATATACAATGTGTAGTCACCAAATCAGGGTAATTGGGATATTCATCACCTCAAACATTTTCTTTTCTTTGTGTTGGGAACATTACAATTCTTCTAGCTGTTTTGAAATACATTGGGAGGCTGAGATGGGTGGATCTCAATGTCAGGAGTTTGAGACTAGCCTGGCCAACATGGTGAAACCCTGTCTCTACTAAAAATACAAAAATTAGCCAGGCGTGGTAGTGTGTGCCTGTAATCCCAGCTACTCAGGAGGCTGAGGCAGGAGAATCGCTTGAACCCAGGAGGTGGAGGTTTCAGTGAGTCAAGATCGTGCCACTACACTCCAGCCTGGGTGACAGAGCGAGACTCCATCTCAAAAAAAAAAAAAAAAAAAGAAAGAAATATGTAAATATACAATAAATTATTGTTAACTATAATTTTTCTACTATATTATTTAATACTAGAACTTGTTTCTTCTAACTGTAGTTTTGTACCTCTTAACCAACCTGTCTTCAATCTACCCTCCTGTCTTCCCATCCCTGGCTTGGTAACCACTATTTTACTCTCAACCTCTGTGAGATCTGCCCTTTTAGTGCCCACGTATGAGTGAGAACAGGCAATGTTTGTCTTTCTGTGCCTTCTTAATTCACTTACTCTAATGACCTCCAGTTACATCTATGTTGCTGCAAATGACAGGACTTCATTCCTTTTTATGGTTGAGTAATATTCTGTTGTGGATAATTACCACATTTTCTTTATTCCCTCATCATTGATGGGCACTTACATTGATTCCATATTGTGGCTATGGTGAATAGCGCTGCAATAAACATGAAAGTGCAGATATACTGATTGCCCTTTTTTTTTTTGGGATAGATACCCAGCAGTGGGATGCTGGATCATATGGTACTTCTATTTTTAGTTTTTTGAGAAATATCTATACTGCTTTCCAAAATGGCTGTACTACTTTATGTTTCTACAAACAGTGTATGAGCATTCCCCTTTCTCTACATTCTTGACAACATTTGTTATTTTTCATCTTCTTGATAATACCCATTCTAACTGAGGTGAGATAGTATATCATTGTAGTTTTGATTTGCATTTCTCTGATGGTCAATTTCTCTGATGGTCAATGATTTTGAACACTTTTTAATAAACCTTTTTGCCATTTGTATGTCTACTTTTGAGAAACATCTATTCAGGTCTTCTGCTCATTTTTAAATCAGATTTTTTTTTTTTTTTGCTGTTGAATTGTTTGAGTTTCTTACATGTTCTGGTTATTAATCCATTGTCAGATGGGTAGTTTGCAAATATTTTCTCCTTTTTTGTAGGTTGCCTCTTCACGTTGTTGTTTGTTTTCTTTGCTGTGCAGAAACTTTTTAGGTTGATGTAATCCCATTTGTCTAATTTTGCTTTGGTCACCTGTGCTTTTGAGGTCTTTTTCAAAAAATCTTTGCCCAGACCAATATCCTGTAATGTTTCCCCAATGTTTTCTTTTAGTAATTTCAGTTTTCAGTGGTTTCAGATCTTCCATTTAAATGCTTAATCCATGTTGAGTTGATTTTTGTATATGGTGAAAGATGGGGGTCTAGTTTCATTTTCTGCGTATTGATTCTTACCGTTTTCCCAACACTATTTATTAAGAGACTGTCCTTTCCTCAGTGTATGTTCTTGGCAACTTTGTCAAAAATGAGTTGACTATTAAGTGCATGGATTTATTTCTGGGTTCTCTGTTCTGTTCCACTGATCTGTGTCTACTTTTATGCTAGTACCATGCTGTTTTGGTTACTATAGCTTGGTAGGATATTTTGAAATTAGGTAGTGTGATGCCTCCAGCTTTGTTCTTTTTGCTCAGGATTGTGTTAGCTAATTGGGGTCTTTTGTGGTTCCATACAAAATTTAGGATTATTTTTCTATTTCTGTGAAGAATGTTATTTGTATTTTGATAGGAATTGCATTGAATCTTATAGATGTTTTGGGAAGTATAGATATTTTAACAATATTAATTCTTCCAATCTATGTGTATGGGATATCTTTGCTTTTTGTGTGTGCTCTCTTCAATTTTTTTTATCAGTGTCTTATGTCTTCCTTATAGAGATTTTTCACTCCTTCGGTTAAATTTATTCCTAGGTATTTAATATTTTGTAGCTCTTATACGTGGGATTGTCTTCTTGATTTCTTTTTCAGATTGATCACTGTTAGTATGTATAAACACTATGGATTTTTGTGTGTTGATTTTATATACTGCAACTTTACTGAATTTGTTTCTCAGTTCTGAGAGATTTTTGTGGAGTCTTTAGGTTTTTCTAAATATAAGATCATGTCATCGGCAAACAAGAATAATTTGACTTCTTCCTTTCCAATTTAATTTTTTTACTTTTTAAAGAACTTTACATAAAGACAATTGTATGGTAAGTATTCTTTAAAGTCTAACTTATGTTCCCTAGCATAATTATTTTGAGTCTCATCTGTGTGTGTTTCTTTATTGCCAAGTAGTATTTAATTGTGTGGATATACTAAAATTTGTTTATTCATTGACCCTGTTAATGGACATTTGTTTTTGGTCTTGTTTTTTCCAGTTTCTGTCTATTGCAAATAAAGCTGCTAAGAACGTTTGTATACAGATCTTTGTATGAGCTATTTTATTTTTTCTTGGATAAATTCCTAGGAGTGTAATCGCTGGATCATATGGTAGCTCTGTGTATAACATTTAAAAAAGCCATCCAACCTATTTTCCAAAGTGGTTGTAGCCTTTTACATTCCCACTACCAATGTGTGAGAATTTTAGTTTTTTCACATCCTTGTTAACAGTTGGTATTGCTAGTTTTAAATTCCAGCCTTTCTAATCAACATTTAGTAGTTTAATTTGTATTTTCCTAATGACTATGATGTTGAATATCTTTTAATTTGCTTATTAGCTATACATATATTAATATTTTCTTTTGTGCAGTGTATGTTCAAATCATTTTGCAATGTTTAAAATTGGGCTTTTTGTTTTCTTAATATTGAATTTTGAGTGTTCTTTGTATATTCCAGATACAAGGTCTTTATCGGATTTGTGCTTTGTGAATATTTTCCCTCAGTCCGAGTCTTTTCATTCTTTTAACAGTGTGTCTTTATAAATTTATTCTTTTTTTTCTTTTATGGATCATGATTGTGGTATCATATCTAGGAAATCTTTGCCTGATCCAAGGGCTACACAGATTTTTCCTCATGTTGGTTTTCTAAAAGTTTTATGGTTTAGATTTTACATTAGGTTTTCATCTGATCTATGTTTGAGTATATTTTTCTATATGAAATGAGGTATAAACAAAAGGTTTTTTTTGCTTATGAATATCTAATTGTTTCAGCACCATTTTTTAAAAAGACTGTCTTTTCTCCATGGAATTGCCATTTATTCTTTGTCAAAAATCCGTTGTCTATATAATGTGAGTCTATTTCAGTATTCTCTATTTCATTCCATTAATCTATTTGATATTTGTCTAATCAATAATAATCACACTGTCTTGATGACTATACTTTTATAATGAAAGCAGGTAGTGATAGTGTTACAACTTTCTTCTTTATTGAAATTGTTTTAATTATGCTAGATCCTTTCCATTTTCCTGTGAATTTTAGAAAGCCTGTTAATTTCTCAAAAAATACATGCTGGAATTTTGGTTGGGATTGTGTTGAATCAATAGGCTAAATGGGGAGTGTTGCTCTCTTAACAATAGTGAGTCTTCTAAATGCTGAACAAGATATATTTAGCTTTTCATTTCTTTAGGTCTTCTTTAATTCCTCTCTGCAATATTTTATAGTTTTTAGTGTATACGTTCTTCATATCTGCTGTTGGACTTTTCTCTAAGTATTTAATGTTTTTAAAGCTATTGCAAACTGCATTTTAGAAAACTTTCTGATTATTCATTGCTAGTATATAGAAATAAAATTGATTCTTTGGGGTATTGGTAATGTATTCTTCAACCTTGCTAAACTCACTAGTTCTAGCAGCATTTTTGTAGAGTATATTGAATTTTCTCAAGGATGATTATGTTATCTGCAAATAAAGACACTTTTATTTCATAGTTTGTAAGCTGGAAAACACATATTTTATTTTCTTGCTTGATTATACTTACTGGAAGCTCCAGTACGATGTTGAATAGGTGGTAGGAATAGACATCATTGTCTTATTCCTGATTTTAGGAAGGAAAGTATTCACTCTTTTATGATTAAGTATGATTTTATCTGTAGGTTTTTCATAGATGTCCTCTATCAGATTGAGGAGTTTTCATTCTTTTCCTAGTTTGCAGAGAGTTATTTTTATCAGAAATCGATGTTGGATTGTGTCAATTTTGTTTTACATCTGATATGGTTTGGCTCTGTGTCCCCACCCAAATCTCACCTTGAATTGTAATAATCCCCACATGTCAAGGGCAGGACCAGGTGGAGATAATTGAATCATGAGGTTGGTTTCCCGCATGCTGTTCTCATGATAGTGAGTGAGTACTCACGAGATCTGATGGTTTTATCAGGGGCTTCCCACTTCACTTGGCACTCCTTCCCCTTCCTGCCACCACGAGAAGAAGGATATATTTGCTTCCCCTTCCACCATGATTGTAAGTTTCCTGAGGCCTCTCCAGCCCTATAGAACTGTGAGTCAATTAAACCTCTTTCCTATATAAATTACCCAGTCTTGGGTATGTCTTTATTAGAGGCATGAGAAGGGACTAATACAATATCTTTTGAGACAGTAAATACATTTTAGTTTGTTCGCATAGTGAATTACAGACTGATTTTTTGAATGCTGAAACAACCTTGCATCCTGGAGATTAACCCTACTTGGTCATGATGCAATGACCTTTTTTTATATTGTTCAATTGATTTTGCTAAAATTTTGCATCTATGTTTATGAGACCATTTACATTTAAAGTGATTATAATATGCTTAGGTTTAAGCCTATCATCTTGCCATGTGTTTTCTATTTGTTCCATCTGTTCTTAATTTTCTTTTCCCTTTTTTCTGCCTTCTTTTGGATTGAGTTTTTTTTATGATTCCATTTTTATCTCCTTTTTGGCTTCTTAGCTACAGTTCTGTTTTGTTATTTTAATTGTTGCTTTAGAATTTATAGTATACAGAGCAGTTTGCTGTTCTCCTTGTGGAACATAGAAAAGGAGTGAAGAAAGGTAGTTTTGGTCTCCTGCCTAGGCCCCACAATCTTTCCTAGTGGACCCAAAGCTCAGGGATACCTTGGGTTGCAATACTTCACTGGGTATGGTAGGCTCAGTGAAGTTGTTGATCCTCAGCGGGGCAGTTTATTCTGTTTTTAAAACTGTAGTCAGTTTCTCTTCAACCATTATGCAAGAGGATATGGGAGAAGCCACACATCAAGAGACACCTTTTGGAAATCTACCAGCAAGGTTGATGGAGCAACCTGGAAATACAAGGCTAACAGCAGACAAGGGTTCCAAAAGGCCTCACTCAGACCTGTCTTTCTGCTTCTCTCATGCGGAGGTTCACAGCTACCTTACTGCTCAAAAAGGGACTTTCTTCTCAGATGAGACCTCCTGACTACCTCCCCAATCTGGCAGTTTGACAAAATTCCGTAGATTTTAAGGTGCTCATGGTGTGAAAGTGTTGGGAACCTTCCAGACTGAGTCTCTTTCAGTTCTTCAAGAGTTACACGCTTGTTATCTGCAGGCCTTTGCCCATGTGGTCATCTCACCTTGGAACACTCTCCCTATTGTTCCCCACTCCATTTGCCTAAATCCTGGAGAGCACAACTTTCTCCAGGAAGAAAACCATCTGGAGGTAGCTGAGATGAAACTTCCTCCAGATGGTTTTCCTCAAGCCTCCCCCATCACCTTAAAGAATCAGGTTGCCCTCCCTTGTGCCTTCATTGCCCACTGCTCCCCATTGCAGATAATGCCTCTTTCATTATCTAGCTAATGAACAGTCTGGAGAGGAGAGAGAAAAAGACATGAACTCTTGGAATCATGTAACATTTTACATTTATATCTGTTATTTACTTTATAGCCAGGCATTGTTCAAAGTACTGTACACAGCTGATAATATTAGAAGATGGATAGGTGAGTGAGATTGCAGGCCCTTGATAAGTCAGGTGTGTTGTTTGCACAGAGAGACTATGACCAGGGAAGGCCTAACCTATAGGTTTTGGAGTATTCAAAGGTTTGAGGGACATGAGAGAGTAAAGCATCCTTAGTAGCACAGGTTGAGTAAAGCCTTCTCTTGTCCCTGGTATCTGACTGCAGCAGCTTCTCCAGCTGCTTCTCCAAAGGCATCCAATGGCTAGCTGTAATTTACATAGCCACCCTCTTTATTTTTTTTCTTCTTAGGTTTATTTATTCACTTTTTATTAAAGTATAACATGGCTACAAAAAAATACACCTAAGTGGCAATTGGATGAAATTTTACAAAACATACACACCCATATAGCCAACACCCAGATCAAGAAACAGTACGTTCCTGCATCTTAGAAGTTCTCCATGCCCCTTTCCAAGTTATTGTCTCTGTAGCCCACAAGTTTAACCTTTATCTTGATTTCTAACAGCACATAATAATTTTGCCTGTTTCTGTTCTTCAAATGTAGTTAGCGTTTTATATCTGCACGTTCTGCATCCACAGATTCAGGCAACCACAGATTGAAAATATTAAAAAAAAGACACAATGATAAAAATAATATAAATTAAAAAATACAGTATGACAACTATTTATATAGCATTTACATTGTGTTAGGTATTATAAGTAATCTAGAGATGATTTAAGTATACAGGAGGATGCGTGTAGGTTATATGCAAACACTATGCCATTTAATATAAGGGACTTAGACATCTGTGGATTTTGGTGTCTTTGGGGGGTCCTAGAACCAATCCCTTGCAGCTACTGAGGGACGACTGTAAATGGAATTATCTAATATATGTATGTGTCTTTTGTGTTTGATGAGCTCCCTTTTAAAATATAACTTAGGATTTATGCTTCTTGTATGCCGTGATAAGAACACATTAAAAAGATAATAAAAAATCTTAAAGGGTATGTAGATGAAAAAAGTAGGAAAGGAGGTAATATTAAATTTTAATGATCTTATTTTTAACTGAACCATGAGAAGTGAAAAAAAGAGTTAAAAACTGAGTAAAGATAAAAGGCTAAGAGTTGAAATACAATAATGAAATAGGCTGGAAGAGAGTAAAAATAAGATACAAGACTAGAAATTGAAGGGCACCAGAATATGCCACCTTGAACTGTTTGACATATGGACCGTTTTGACCTTAAGGGAATTGAGAATCAGAAGCAACAGGAAGAGTTCTTTACCGCCTCTTAACTGCCTAAATATAGAGTATAAATTTCCCCTTTTTGCAAAGGAAAGGTACATTTATAAAGGAAATTTACATTTGTAAATGTGTCTCCTCCCAGGAAGAAAGCTACTCCTTGGGACAGCTCTTATAACTTCAGAGCCTCTTACTTGGATCACTAAACAGCTCTTGTGTGTCACACAATCCCCCCTCATCTTCCCACAACTTACCTCTTGTTTCCAGAAGCCCAAACCCCACTTTTCTGCTCCCAGAAGCCCAAACCTGCTTTTTCCTTGTTTACCTTAAGATGGTATACAAGTCTTAATCATCTGGTCACTTCCTTAAGTTTTCATTTCTTTGTGAACTCTGCTGCATGTGTATATAATTAAACTTATTTTTTCCCCCTGTTTCTTATTAATTTGATTCCAGGGTCCAGCCAGTAAAGCAGGAGGATAGAGAAAAGAAGTTTTCCCACCATACAAAATCAATGAATACAAATATGAAAATAAAAGACATAAAGGATAATGACTATAGATCATAACAGATGAGGTGAGGAAGTTAACATGTAAGAAGATTTTTTTAAAGTATGAATAAGAATTTAAAAGCTAAAAATGTAAGGGTAAAAAGTTAAATAAAATGTACATAGACATAGTTAAAGGATCATATTGAATTTTTTTGAAAAAATAATAAAAAATTAAAAAATATGAGAGAGTGGGGAGAAAGAGATTAAAAACAAAGTATGTGAGCTTTAACACAATCCTTAAAGGGGCAGGTCACCTCTGGCCACCCACTTAAGCAGCAGAGACTCTGGTGGGCAGTCAAAATGGTGGCCTTCACTCTCCCACCTTCTACCTCCCCAGAGGCATCACTTCTGTCAAACAGTTGGCAGGGACAACAACTTTGGGTGATGGTTCAAGCTATGGTCACCATAGTGTTAGCATTTCTCGCAGTTATATGGATCAACTCAATGAGTTGGCTGACAAATCAACACTTAAAGCCCTCAGCACCTTGGTGGTACGTGGTGGGTATCTGCTAAGTGTTCTAAAGGATTAGGTGCTAGGTGGAAAGGAGCAAAAGGAGACATAGCACAGTGTCCACGTCCAACCCCACTTCCCAGGAAATTGCTGAGGCCTCAGATAATTGTTTTATGATGGTGATTATAATGGAAATCACAAATATATATTTGTCCCTAAAGTATGTCTGGCACTGCACTAGGCATTTTTCCACAGATGGCCTCATTTTTAGAGTTCTCAACAACCTTGCAAATGCTGCATTTCATAGATTCTAAGACTCTTGTTTCCACATGTTAACATCTTTAAGATCAGGCTGAATCTTACAGTCTATGTGATGAGAGCCTTATATTGTGATTTAATTGTCAAGGTTATTTTTTGTTTCTCTTTTGCTAACTGTACATAAAACAATGGTGAATCTTACAGTGTGTGGTGTGTTAGATTTGATGAAATACAGTAGATGTGACTTTCCATGCTCTCCAGATGAGAAAACAGATACTCTGAGAGGCCAAACAAGCTGTCTGACATCATATGCTGGTAAATGCCTGGTGTGACATACATACTCCAAAACTTGTTCTTTTTCTCTCCTGGAAGCCCAAGTGCTAGAAAGTACCTGATCTGCACTGGGGAGGTTGAACCCCAGAATGTGAGAGCTGAAAAGCTCCCAGGAGTCAAGCTTGTGCTTGGCACCAGGACAGATGTGGCCCTGGACTCAAGCTGTGGCTTTCCTCTCCTCCCAGTTCACTGTACCACACTGTCTCTGTCCCAAGACCTTGCTTCTGCTTTTTCTCTTTCCTCTGTTCCTTCTCCTGCCTTTTTTTTTTTTTTGACACCCTTTGGTATTTTGGATGTTTCTTGTTATTTTTTGCTTTTATCTTACCAGCTGCTGGTTTCACCAAAGAGACAAAGAGACACCAGCAAGATGGAAATATCAGGCTCCCATTATTCTTTTTATTTTGCTCCTTTCCAGTTGTGTGACAGCTGGTTGGCTACCTCTGGAAATGTATTATGGCCTCTGAGATTTGGTGAATCGGAGAAGTATGAGCAGACACACACATCTATTGCCTTCAGGCCAGGAGAAATAATATTATCTCCCTTGTGGGAACAGTTTATTCTCAGAGTGCTTTGATTTAAGCTTACAAGGAGAAATGCCCAGTTATGGAGCAATTTCCCGGAATATTCTGTTTTAGCTGCCTGGCAGTCCTTTGTGCTAAATGATAATGGCCCACATCTGGAGAAGCCTGGTGGGGGTCTCCCTGGATGACTTGGCTTTCTGGTTTCAATCAAAGTGTCTTATCATTCTCTCACAGGTGCTTGGAAATGTAATGAACTTGTGGAGAGCACAATGAATATGCAGCGCTGAAAGGGATATTTTGATCCAAGCCCTTTATTCTGTAGATAAGGAAAGGGAGCCCTAGAGAGGTGAAGTGGCTTGCCAAAGTCACCCAGCAGATTATGGCCAGGATTATAATCTAGGTCACCGACTTAAAGTTATCCAAGGGTTTTCCTCGAAAAGAGCTATAGAGAACATACAGTAATGTTTGGTGTGACTCTTTCTCATGAGTCCTCCTTGAGCTTGAGCAAGCCACTTGTTTGCACTATGTCAGCTTTCTAACTCGTCTCCTTGCTTCCAGCTCTCCCCACACTAATAAACATCTTTATTAGTGTGAGATTCATCTTCTTGGTTGAGCTTCTAATCACTGCTTCTCCCTCTTCAAAATACTTGGAGGCTCCCAAAGAATAAAGCCCAACTTTCTTGGCATTGAAGCTGCACTTGGTCTGCACCACTTCACAACACTTCCTTAGTGTCCTCACTCAGCCTAAACTGCTTCCATTTTCTTTTCAAGCCTTGAAGCCTTTGTTCATGCTGTTCCATCTACTGAAACATACTTCTCCATAGTTCCATCACTCCCTTAGGCCCTGGCTTTTTGTCAGGGAGGTCCACTGGGGCAGATCCTGGGAGGAGGGGACATGATGGACTCTGCCAATTTGCTATTGGCAGACTTCTTCTCTGCCCCTTGAGTTATGCAGGCAAGTAGTCACCATGAGGGAGTCCACTGCAGGGCATTCAAGGGAAAGACAGAAAGTTTGGGGACAGTCTGGCAGCAGATGGTAGGTAGGCAGTGGGCATGAAGACAAGCCATTTGACAGCAGGTTTCAGAACTCCAGCTTCTGGGATTGTGCACTGTGGTGCCAGGTTTTGAGGAAACAGAAGCAAATCACACAAATATGGCCTTATCTGCAAGAAGCTTGCAGTTTAGTGGGTAGGACAAATGTTAGAATAGATGATTTCATCAAATACTCAAAATCTTATAATTTTCATTTTACAAATAAGAAAACTGAGTCTCAGAAAGGTTGAAAAATTTCTCAAGGCTGCCTAGCTCATTAGTTTTGGAGACAATTCCAAAGCCTATGCTCCCTTTAGTCATAATTTCATTTCTGGGGAAACAAGGGGTCAGGGTTGAGTGACCTGATGGTCAGATTGAGTGAGGTGATGATTTGGGCCTGGAATAAATACTGTTATTGTTCATAATAGGGACTATTCATTATGGGAGAACAAGCTTTACATATGCTAATTTTAAATTTCACAATAACTCTGCAGTAAGAATTAGCCTTTCCATTTTACAGATGCAGAAGGCAAAGATTAGCAAAGACAAATAATTTATCTAAAATCACCTACCTACAGTGGAGAAAGGTGTTCGACTTAGATCTATCTGACCATCAAATCTATGTTCTTTCCAGTGGACTAGCCTGCCTCTCCACCACGAGTTACCTAAAAACTATTGAGAGGCTCTTTTTTTTTCCTTCTTCAAGGGAAGGAGGGAGAAGGAGAGAAAGTGCATGTTGACACAAAAAACAAAGAGACTAAAAATAGTTTAAATGTAAAAATGTCATGTTCACCTAACTCAGATTTAGAAAGCCCACCACAAATCTTGGTGGGAAATTCTGCCTCCCATAATGAGAACTGTCACTTTAAGGCCTGTAATTTTACTGGATTTGCACAAGGGGAGCTTTGAACCACAATCTTCATTTATTTATTGTCTTCATTTATTATTCAAGTTTTCTCTTTCCTGTCTGGGCATCCACATTGGTGGAAAATTCTTAGAGTCATGCTTAAGATTAATCAAATGAACGGAGATGCTCTTTACACCTTGCTTCTAGAGGCCAGTGTGGAGAGCATCAAAGAGACCCAACATGTTCCAGGTCTGTTCCTTATTGTTGACCATACTCAGGGCACTACCTTGACATTGGCACTGCACACTCATGACAGGGTGGAGTATCTTGTTCAACTGGAGCCATCTCATGCATTTATCTTGGCTTTTCCTTGACAAAACTTGATTAGATTCTGTTCTGTGGCTATTTCAACTTTGAATGGAGATGTAATCTCTTGGATTTTTTTTTAACCTAATAATTCAAGTCTCCTCCCCAACGCCCCCACCCAGAAAACCATCTTTCCATAAGGCTGAGAACAATTAAGAATTTTTATTTTTTTGTGCTTGGTCTAATGAGAATCTTCTATGGATGTATTAGTCCATTCTCATGCTGCTATAAGGACGTACCTGAGACTGGGTAATTTATAAAGGAGGAAAGTTTAATTGACTCACAGTTCTGCAGGGCTTGAGAGGCCTCAGGAAACTTACAATCATGGCAGAAGGGGAAGCAAACACATTCTTCTTCACATGGTGGCAGGAAGGAGAAGAATGAGAGTTAGCAAAGGAGGAAGCCCTTCATAATCCCACCAGATCTTGTGAAAACTTACTCACTATCACAAGACTAACGTGGGGGAAACTGCCCTCATGATTCAATTACCTCCCATCAGTTGCCTTGCATCATGCATGAGGATTATGGGAACTGCAATTCAAGATAAGATTTGGGTGGGGACATAGCCAAACCATATCCTTTCACCCCAGCCTGCCCTAAACCTCATGTCCTCACATTTCAAAACACAATCATGCCCTTCCAACAGTTCGTCAAGGTCTTAGCTCATTCTAGCATTAACCCAAAAGCCCAAGTCCGAAGTCTCATCTGAGACAAGGCAAGTCCCTTTGGCCTATGAGCCTGTACAATCAAAAGCAAGTTAGTTACTTCCTAGATACAATGGAGGTACAGGCATTTGGTAAATGCACCTGTTCCAAATGGGAGAAATTGGCCAAATGAAGGGGCTACATGCTCCATGCAAGTCCAAAATCCAGTGAGGCAGTCAAATCTTAAAGCTCTGAAGTGACCTCCTTTGACTCCATGTCTCACATCCAGGTCACACTGATGCAAGAACTGGGCTCCTATGGCCTTGGGCAGCTCTATCTTTGTGGCTTTGCAGGGTATAGCCCCACTTCTGGGCTGCTTTCATGGGCTGGCATTGAGTGTCTGCAGCTTTTCCAGGTGCACGGTACAAGCTGTTGGAGGATCTACCATTCTGGGGTCTGGAGGACACAGTCCCTTTTCTCACAGCTCCACTAGGCAGTGCCTCAGTGGGGACTGTGTGTGGGGACGTTGACCCCACATTTCCCTTTTACACTGCCCTAGCAGAGGTCTCCATGAGGGCTCCACCCCTGCAGCAGACTTCTGCCTAGACAACCAGGTGTTTCCATATATCCTCTGAAACCTAGGTGGAGTTCCCAAATCTCAATTCTTGACTTCTCTGCATTTGCAGGACCAACATTATGTGGAAGCTGCCAAGGCTAGGGGCTTACACCCTCTGAGGCAACAGTCTGAGCTGTACCCTGGCCTCTTTTAGCCAAGCCTGGAGCGGCTGGGATGCAGGGCACCAAATCCCAGGGCTGCACATAGGAGGGGGGCCCTGGACCCAGCCCATGAAAAATTTTTTGCCTAAGCCTCTGGGCCTGTGATGGGAGGGGCGGCCATGAAGTTTTCTGACATGCCTTGAAGACATTTTCCCCATTGTCTTGACGATTAACATTTGGCTCCTCATTACTTTTACAAATTTCTGCAGTAGCTTCCATTTCTCCCCAGAAAATTGTTTTTGCTTTTCTATCACATCACTAGGCTGCAAACTTTCCAAACATTTATGCTCTGCTTCTTCTTGAACTCTTTGCCACTTAGAAATTTATTCTGCCAGATATCCTAAATGACCTCTCTCAAGTTCAAAGTTCCACAATCTCTAGGGCAGGGGCAAAATGCCACCAGTCTTTTTGCATAGCAAGAGTGACCTTTACTCCAGTTCCCAACAAGTTCCTTACCTCCGTCTGAGACCACCTCAACCTGTACTTCATTGTCCATTTCACTATCAATGTTTTGGTCAAAGCCACTCAACGAGTCTCCAGGAAGTTCCAAACTTTCCCACATCTTCCTATCTTCTGAGCCCACAAAATCTCTAGAAAGTTCGAAACTTTCCTACATTTTTCTGTCTTTATCTGAGCCTTTCAAATGGTTCCAACCTCTGCCTGTTACCCAGTTCCAAAGTTGCTTCCACATTTTTGGGTATCTTTATAACAGCACCCTGCTCTCTGCAGTACCAATTTACTGTATTAGTCCATTCTCATGCTGCTATAAGGACATACCCAAGACTGGATAATTTATAAAAGAAGGAGGTTTAATTAACTCACAGTTTCACAGGGCTGGGGAGGCCTCAGGAAAATTACCATCATGGTGAAAGGGGAAGCAAACATGTCCTTCTTCTCATGGTGGCAGAATGAGAGCAGAATGAGAAGAAGAATGACAGCCGAGCAAAGAGGAAAGCACTTTATAAGATCATCAGATCTTATGTGAACTTACTCACTACCATAAGAACCGCATGGGGGAAACTGCCCCCATGATTCAATTGCCTCCTACCAGGTCGCTCTCACCACACATGGAAGTTATGGAAACTACAATTCAAGATAAGATTTGGGTGGGGACATAGCCAAATCATATCAATGGGAGTGCAACATTTCTGAACCCAAAATGCTAAGAACTGCTTTGCACCCCCTCAGGTAATGATCAATGTTCTAGGGGCCAGGAAAAAAAGCACTGGGTACTAGGCATTTTTAGTATAATTTTCTATGTCCTTGTCATAACTATTTTATGGAGGAGGAAATTAAGGCTCAGGGAGTTGCTCAGTGTCACACAGTTAGCAAATAGCAGAGCTGGGATCCAAACCCAGGTCTTTTTAATTCCAAAGTCCATGCTGGAATAGCTATAGCATACCCTCTGATTTTCTAAGAGACACTATGCAGTGGCCAATATGCAGGTCCCAGTCAATGAGACCTTGAGTAAGTCAATGTGCTATCTTGAGACCCTCTATTTTTTTTTTCCTTTATTTTGCAGGCAAGAACAGAAACCCAAAGTTCCTACAATTCTAAATATTTCATGGTTTGGGCATTGTTTGTAAAGCCCCTCATTCTCATCACCCAGAACCAAAGCAAAAGAGGTTCATGTTCAAATCTTGCCTCATATGTAAATCTTTTCTTTATTTACTTAGTTTTTGCTTTAAGAAGAAAGGAAATCTGACTTTTTAAAGTGGAAGCCTGACTCTACTGAGGAATTTTTATCATTCCTGAAACTTTTCAAAATGTATTTACTTTTGAAGAAAGGAATGACTTAGTTTTCCCTTTACCACACGAGTCCTCATCGTCAAAATAAAATGAATTCTTCTGTGACTATTCCACCAAGCCTTTCCAATCTTCTCACCTAGTGCCCAGGATTTTCTGTATTTATTCAGTAAACAGTTCCTGATGGCCTGCTCTGTGCCTGTAGGGTGTGTGTGTGTGTGTGTGTGTGTGTGTGTGTGCATGCACGTGCTTCCCTAAGATGGCTAAGGGAATACCCTAGCAAGAGAGACAGACACATCTAAAACTGAGGACACAAAGTGCTAAATGCTATAATAGGGGTGAAGTTTTACTTCTTGCTACTTTGGGTCCAAGAAGGGGGGACCTTATGGGAGTCAGCACATGTGAATCAGATAAGAGGGTGGTGTTCATATGTCACTGGACCACTGACCAGGGGTTCAGGGATAAGATCTGGCCCTAGGGAGGATATCATTGAAAGTAGGAAGGACCCTGGGTCAGGTCACCAGGGCCCCAACCCTGGGTTGGGGATTAGGGGTGAACTCTGACCTGGTTCAGGACTGGGATGCTGGGCAGGGCCACAGATCTTAACTCAGGAACAGTAACCCAGGCAGAGCCCTGAACCCACAACTCAGGCCAACCACAGGAGTAGAATCTCAATTTAGAAGCTTAATGGATAGCTAAGCTTAAACTGCAAAGGTTTCTTTAGCTCTAAAGAAGGAGGCCTGGGTTGGAGGGAAAGAAAGGAGTGGAGCAGCAGACTGGTGTTTAGGTCTTGCAGACCAAGTACCCAATCTTTCTATCAGTTTGCACAGATGTGGGACAAGCACAAAAGATGGAGGGCAGGGCCTGAAATCTGTCAGTGGTCAAATGCAAAACTTGGAATCAGATTCTTTATTTTGTTTTTCATTTTTTATTTTTAGAGACAAAGTCTCGCTCTGTTGCCCAAGCTAGAGGGCAGTGGTGCTATCATAGTTCAGTGCAACCTCAAACTCCTGGTTTCAAGTGATCTTCCCACCTCAGCCTTCTGAGTAGCTGGGACTACAGTCTGACCCCACTGTGCCTCACTTAAAAAACAAGACAAAACAAAACAAAACTGTAGAGCTGGGCTCTTGCCATGTTGCTCAAGCTGGTCTCAAATTCTTGGCCTCAGTCAATCTTCCTGCATCAGCCTCTCTGTGCCTGTAGGGTGTGTGTGGGGTTACAGGAGTGAGCCACCACACCCGACCAAGATGTTTTATTACAATATCAACTACCTACTTGGCATTTGATGTCTAAGAAACATTCAAGCTCATCATGGCCAAAGCAAAACTTTTGATTTACAACTGCTTTGCCCCACAACTTATCTCTTGGTCCTCCCCATTTAATAATAGGGCACTGTAATTCACCCACGTGCTCAGGCCAGACACCTAGGAGTCACCTTGGATTTCTCGACGTTGCTTATTCCTGCATCAGGTAGGCTCTCCCCTCTGTCTCTCCTGTCACCACCTTAAGTGTCAGTGGCTGAACAGGTAGGGCACTTTGTGGGCAGAACATAAGCCAACTCCTGATCATTAAGTGAGGATAGTTCGGTAAAATCACTTTCTGTAGGTTTAAGCCATCGTTATCTACTGGGCTCCTGATATAGTCACATAGCTGATGGCCCCATTTCTGTTCTCTCTCCTCTGTGATCAAGCCTCTGTGTGGCAGTCAAAGTGACCCTTGAAAACATAAGCCAACCATGTCATTCTCCTGTTCAAGACCCTCCCAGAGGCTCCTCATCACTCTCAGAATAAATCCCAGTCTATGTTATGGCTCCCTAGGACCTGCCCCTGAGGTCATTTGCTATCCCTCTTCCCTACTTTACCCTGGTCTGCCTGGCTTGCTTTCTGTTGTTTGACTGTATCAACCTCATTTCTGCCTCAGGGCCTTTTTACTTGCTGTTTTCTATAGCACAAATACCCTTATATCTGCTTATTTATGGCTGCCTTCTTTTAAATCATGTCTCATTTCAAATGAGAGGTCATCTCCTCAGAGAGACCTTCTCTGATTACACTCTGTGATGTAGCAACCCTGCCTTTCCACAACCCCCTCTAATTTCCAAGTTCTATTTTTTCCACATTTTACTTATCTTTACTTGATGTTTGTTTGCTTGTTTATTGTTTATCCTTCCCCCCGACACCAATAAAATGTAAGCTTCCTGAGAGCAGGGGCTTGTTTAGTCTTGTATTTCCAGCATGTGCAACAGCATGTGGCACCTAGTAGAGAGTCAATAAATGCCTTGAAATGGTGCTTTAAAACTTCTTACCTCCATGCTCCACGGCACGGTCTTCATTCCAGAGAGTCCATAAAACGACACCTCCTTGGAGGTGATGAGGGTTAGGAAGTGTATGGTAACAGAGTAGTGTAGATCAAACACATTGGGTGTGATCACATCATGCTGTCATTTATAAAAAATCCTGAATATATATTGAGCAGCAAAGAATGAAGAATTTTACTGCCTCCTAATACATAATACATCCCAATGATTTAACATGTAAGAGAACTTTGTAGATAAACCTTAGGCCAGGTAAGGAGTGGCCTGAGGGTCTAATTTTCTCTTGCAATCCAAGTGAAGAAGAGTGTTTATGACTGCCAAGCAGGGGTGGATTTACCCTGAGACTAATGACACTTAAGCTTTAGGGTTTCTCACTTGTATAGGTGTCTTCCAAGGCTCTGAGAAGGGCTCCAGCAATGCCTTTGCATAGTCATATAAATGTGTGTGTACAATGTTCAAAAGTAAGGCATTACTTAAGTTAGCTCAGGCCATTGCCTCTCTACTCCAACTTCTAATATGTCACACTTCCCCTTGTATTTGCTGGCATTGGAAGGCTGTGGGCATTGCTGGAATTTGGTGAGGCGAAGTTGAATTGGGGATGCATTTGGTTTGAGTTTCATGAGATTTATTCATGTGAATCACTGTCTCCTCCATTCATAGTTAAGTTGTGATAGACATCTTGTGGTAGAAAAGTCTTCCAAAACCATTTCTACCACCCACTGTGCTCTGGCAAAGCCAGAGGCAGGATCCCAATATGAACGTGTCTGCTATTCTATGGCAGCAGGAATACATGAATACAGGAGGAGAAACAAAAAGGGATCAGAAGCTAGTTTGTGGAAAATGCCTATAAAGATCAGATGTTTAAAATTCTAAGTGGTGGATTTGGTTCTCCTTGGCACCTAGTCAAAATGGAAGTTCCCATCCACAAGAAGTATATTAAACAAGGCAGTGTGTGCAATTAAAAGTGTTCCCAGCATTAGTTGCATGAAATAGAGTTGTTGTTTTTTTAATGAGCATTCCTGTATTCACAGGGCACAGACCTGTATCAGTATTACCAATAGCGAGTACCTCAGTGTGAGGTCTCATGTCTTATGCATCCCAAACTGTCAAGCTGTATCTTAGAGCATCTGGACTGTCTTAATGATATATCTGACACATCTGGTTCTCACAAAGTGTGATTTGGATCCAGAAGAAACGGAACCTAAAATTACCACGAATGCAGTGATACAGCTTTGTGAGACAGGTGTTTCAGTGGCAACATTTCTGTACATGCTCATCAACAAGTCCCTGTATACTGTTTAAGAACAATTTAATAGTATAACTATGTAGCTAAAAAACTAGAGATAATTTTAAAATGATTTGAATTTTTCTTGCTATATCTCAATTTTAGATTAATTTTGTATCTTTTTTTCAGAATTATTGATTATACATGAAATCAAGTTTTATGAGACAGAACTATTTCAGTGGAAGCCAAAAGGGTAAACTGAAAAAAAAAGAATACTGGCTGAAACTTTAAATGTCAAAGCTCTCTTATTATATCACAAAAATAACTAAAATCTCTGTTGGTCAAAATTATGAAGATAAGAAAAGAATTAGAAAATAGAATGAAATTGACAACAGAAGTAAAAAGATGATGATGAGAAGCAAGACACTTCTAGACAGAAAGCACAAAAGCAAAAAGGAAATAAAAATTATGGCAAAGAATAAGATAATTTATACTCTCAACAGAAAACACAAAAAGGTCAACAGTTGCTTTATTTTGATGAATTCATTGTGTCCTGTTGAAATGAGCAGTAATTTCATTCAACTCGATGTGTTCAAAGACAGTTTTTTTTAAAAGAAAAAATAACATAAAACTCTTTATATACCATATAAGGACATCAGTGT